>NC_000009.12:107311461-107462976 GCF_000001405.40 Homo sapiens | reverse complement strand
GGCTGTTACTTTACCAAAACTATTCATTATGGGGCCGTTTGTTTAAAGGTTGCCCTGGTGGCTTGGAGACAGTGCCTTTTGCTCTCTGACTCACAGGAAGCAAAAATAAGTTACTATCAGGTGATGAGCATACTTAGAAGCCAAACTAAAAATGAGAGGGTTTATCATCCTCTGGCGTAAAGCAGTCGGCTCCACTTTCAAACTGGTAAATGCCAGGCAGTTGAAAATGTAATATTTTATTTGTGTGATACATATTGTGTGTGTGTGTGTGTGTGTGTGTGTGTGTGTGTGTCTGTTTTTTGTTTGTTTTTAAGATGGAGTCTCGTTCTGTTGCCCAGGCTAGAGTGTAGTGGCATGATCTCGGCTCACTGTAACCTCTGCCTCCGGGTTCAAACAATTCTCTGCCTCAGCCTCCTGAGTAGCTGGGATTATAGGTGTCCACCACCACACCTGGCTAACTTTTGTTTTTTTTTTTAGTAGAGACCGGGTTTCACCATCTTGGCCAGGCTGGTCTTGAACTCCTGACCTCATGATCCACCCGCCTTGGCCTCCCAAAGTGCTGGGATTACAGGCGTGAGCCACAGTGCCCAGCCTGTGTGTGTTTTTAAAAAAGCTCTTTACTAAGCATTTGCTAATTACAGTATGCTAATTTCTGTGTTTGGAAACACGCGAAGGGATATGATATAATCTCTGTCACCAAATGGTCCGCAGTCTGATAGGAGAGACAACTATATAAATGTGTCTAGTAGTCACCTCATTTGTAAAGTGGGAACAACCATAGGACCCCTTTGTGGGGAACTTCTGAGGACAAGCCATGAAAAGCATGGGTGAGAAACAGTTGTTGGAAGCCTGAGCCAAAACAGGCTCTTACATAGGTAGGGCTTGCATTAGCCCCTTTTTCACATGAAGAAACTGAGGCTCTGAGAGGGGAAGAGATTTGCTGATTCACAGCACAGCCAGCATTCAAATTTAGATCTGATCCTTCTCTTCCCACCACATTACATTCAAAGTTTATGTTGACCAGGCTGGTCTTGAACTCCTGAGCTCAAGCGATCCTCCCACCTCCCAAAGTGCTGAGATTACAGGCATGAGCCACCACGCACAGCCCAATAAACAGTTTTATTTTTTGTTTTTTGCTTTATTAGCTTTATTGAGATATATGTACATCTAGATTGTATATTTAATGTATACAAACTGATGAGTTTAGATATACCCATGATTTCATTACCACAATCAAAGTAATAAACATATCCATCTCTCAAAATGTTTTCTTGTATCCCTTTCTGTGTGTGTAGTTTGTGGACTTAACATGAAATCTTAACATGAGATCTTAACAAATTTTTAAGTGCACAATGCCATATTGTTAACTGCAGGCGCTATGTTATACAACAGTTCTCTAGAACTTACTCATCTTGGGTAACAAAAATTTTATACCCATTAAGCAACAATTCCCCATTTCTTTCTTCCTCCAACCCCTTACAACCACCATTTTACTCTATGCTTTTATGAGTTTAACTATTTTAGATACCTCGTATAATTGAGATCATGTAAAATGTGCCTTTCTGTGGCTGGTTTATTTCACTTGCGTAAGTGAAACTAGCTCTTTATCAGATAAATAGTTTTCTTTTCTTTTCTTTTTCCTTGAGCCTCAGCATTTCTACTTTTTTATGGCTTCTGTCTTTTGGTTGACTTTTTTCATTTTAGTTTTGTATTGCTTTCATGGTATTATTTAGTGTTCTATCTACGTTCTCTTGTAGCTCACTGAGCTGCTTTAAGATGATTATTTTGAGCCAGACGTGGTGGCTTACACCTGTAATCCCAGCACTTTTGGAGGCCGAGGCAGGTGGATCACTTGAGGTCAGGAGTTCGAGACCAGCCTGGCCAAAATGGTGAAACTTTGTCTCTACTAAAAATACAAAAATTAGCTGGACGTGGTGGCGCATGCCTGTAATCCCAGCTACTCGGGAAGCTGAAGCAGGAGAATCGCTTGAACCCAGGAGGCAGAGATTGCAGTGAGCTGAGATCCTGTCACTGCACTCCAGCCTGGGTGACAAAGCCAGACTCCGTCTCAAAAAAAAAAAAATTATTTTGAATATTTGTCAGACAATTCACAGATCTCCATTTCTTTAGGGTTGGTTGCTGGAGATTTATATCATTCCTTTGGTGATGTCATATTTCCCTGATTCTTTGTGTTCCTTGTAGTTTTGCATTCCTGTCTGCACATCTGAAGAAGTAACCACCTCTTTCAGTCTTTGTACATTAGGCAGGGATAGACCTTCACCAATCCATCCAGTTAGAGATTCTGGGAATCTCTCAGATCTTTTCTGTGTGTGTGCCTACTTTACTCCTCTCTCTCTGTCTCCTGCTGGAGAAGTCTCAGGATTGTGCGCCTCCTCCTGATCCTGCAGTGCTCTGCCAGGTGCTGAGAGCTGTCCAATTTTTTTCCCTGGGGTTATGCACAGAGATGCTGGTTGTTGGGTGCAAGCTCTCCCTCCTGAAAGAGAAGTCTCAGGACTGTGTGCTTTCTCCCAGTCCCACAGAGCTGAGCTGGCTGCTGAGATCCGCTCTGGCTGTAGATATCTGTGCTGGCTGCTAATATTCATATCAGCTGCTGAGACCCACAGGCCAGTTGCTGAGATTTGTGAGCTGGCTGTTGAGATTTACATGTAGGCCTCTGAGAGTCCCACCCCTTTTGTTTGTTCTTAGCTGCCGGAGACATTCTAACTATGTTGATTCCCTCAGACTCTAGGTGAGATAAGACAGAATTGGGTCTTCAGCTCTATGGGGCATTGACCCAGAGACTCTACTCTGCCAATTAGCAAGTAGTGCTTAAACCAGCAAGGTGGCTTTGAAGTTTGCTTAGATAACAGAGCTATTATGACTTTATTTACAACATGAATCCTGAAGTCTCTAAATATGTAATGTCATAACTCATCACATATCATCTGCTTGCTTTGGTGACAGAATAAGAAAACGGCAGACTTAGGTCAAATCTCTGCTCAGTCACAGATTAGCCATGGGACCTTGTGGAACTCACTGAACCTTTGAACCTTTTTTTTTTTTTTTTTTTTAGATGAAGTCTTGCTCTGTCACCCAGGTTGGAGTGCGGTGGCACGATCTCAGCTTACTGCAGCCTCTACCTCCCAGGTTCAAGCAATTCTCCCAACTCAGTCTCCCGAGTAGCTGGGATTACAGGTGCATGCCACCACGTATGGCTAATTTTTTTTAGTAGAGACGGGGTTTCATCATGTTGGCCAGGCTGGTCTCGAACTCCTGGCCTCAGGTGATCTGCCCTCTTCGGCCTCCCAAAGTGCTGGGATTACAGGCATGAGCCACTGTGCCCAGCTTGAACCACTCTGAACCTTATGTTTACCCTTTTTTAAATGGGCGGTTGGAAGGACACAAGGAAGCAACCAATGGGAAGTGTCTCTGCACACTTACATGTTATGAATATGAGTTTTGATGTACATTTGAGAAGCCCTACTTGACCCTTTCCAGCTCCTCCCAAACACTGGCCTCCAAAGATCCATGGTGCTTACTCCCCTCTTCATGGTGCTATGGTTAAATAAATTTGAAACTGGAAGCCTAGACTCAAGTGGAGATAAAGCCAAGGTTAAGGGTGAGACTTTGGTTTAGATTATTTAACCTAGCAAAGCCTCAGTGTCATCATCTGTAAAATGAAGACAATAGGGCTTGTTAAAGTTAAGATCATTAATAAGAATTAAATGGGATACTGCTTATAAGTGTTTAAAACAGTGTCTACCTCATAGGAAGCATTTCATAAACACTAGCTATTTTTATCATTATTATTAACTAGGTCACATTTCCAGGGTATTGGGACAAGGAGTACAAGCCGAGGTACAGTTCCTAAATAATGCTGATAATGTCATCTCTAAGAAGAGATTGTTGGAGTGAAGTTCCTAGGGCCTCTGATGCTTGATGATTTCCAGCTTTAGCTCATCTACTCACTGGCCCATGGTCTTAGAGTCTAAGGCAAGTCCCTTCCCCTGTTTACACCTTAGTTCCCCCATTCCTTCACTAGTCATTTAAAAGAATTGATCTAGGTCTTTAAGAGCACCAAGCATGCTCTTTGCTATAACTTGGGGGACCTCAAAAAAATTTGTCATTATACTTCTATTCTATTTCAATTCCTTGCCCTGAACGTGGAAAAGAATCCATATTAATTTCACTCCCCATGGCTGCAAGTTGAAAGTTCCAAGGGGCCACATCTGGCACGTTGAGATGAGTTCCAGACAGTCAAAACTTAATATAAATTGACTGACAAATTTGGAATATGGATGGTACGTAAGACAAAAGTCCCATATCAATGTAAATGTATGAAATGATAAGTGAAGTTGAATGAAGTTGGATATTCCTATCTTTTGTAAATGCACACTGAAGTATTTAGGGGTGAAAGGCCATGATGCCTGTAACTTACCCTCAAACAGAGTACAATCTTAGCAATAGGTGAATCTGGGTAAAGGATATATGGGTGACTTATACTATTTGTGCTTTTGCAAGTTAAAAATTATTTCCAAATAAAAATTTAAAAATAAAAACCTAGGAGCAGTGTGAAGAAGAAGAGGCAAGAACAACCCCTGGACCGACCAAAGCCCTGTGCCCTTGCATCCCATACCCAGCACCCACATCCTGCTGCCATTGTCACCACCATGCCCAAGAGAAAGGGTGAAGGGGATGCTAAAGGAGATAAATCCAAAGTTAAGGACGAACCACAGAGAAAATCCACGAAGTTGTCTGCTAAACCTGCTCCTCCAAAGCCAGAGCCCAAGCTTAAAAAGGCCCCTGCAAAGAAGGGAGAGAAGGTACCCAAAGGATAAAGGGAAAAGCTGATGCTGGCAAGGAGGGGAATAACCCTGCAGAAAATGGAGATGCCAAATCAGACCAGGCACAGAAAACTGAAGGTGCTAGAGACGCCAAGTGTACTGTCTGTATTTTTGATAACTTGTGTACTTCTGCTGACTGTACAGTTTGAAATACTATTTTTTTTGTTTTTTTGTTTTTTTTTTTTTTTTGAGACAGATGTCTCTAGACTCAAAGCCTGGCTCTCACATATACTGGCTGGGCAACCTTGAGCAAGCTATTTAATGTGTGAGCCCTTAGAGGTTAATTAAACCTTATCTAGTAACTATTCGTGACTGAAATGAAAGATACGGCATAAAAGTCTGTCAAGTGATTGGCGGCCTGAATAGGATTTGCATACTCCTCGGAACTCAGTGTTTTATAATGAAGTATTTGCCCAGGCTGGAGTGCAGTGGCACGATTTTGGCTCACTGCAAGCTCCGCCTCCTGGGTTCAAGCCATTCTCCTGCCTCAGCCTCCCGAGTAGCTGGGACTACAGGCGCCCACCACACCTGGCTAAATTTTTTGTATTTTTAGTAGAGACGGGGTTTCACCATATTAGCCAGGATGGTCTCGATCTCCTGACCTCATGATTCGCCCACCTTGGCCTCCCAAAATGCTAGGATTACAGGCGTGAGCCACCGCGCCCAGCCCTTTGAAATACTATTTTTATCAAGTTTTATAAAAATGCAGAATTTTGTTTTCCTTTTTTTTTCTTTTTCTTTTTTGAGACGGAGTCTCACTCTGTCGCCCGGCTGGAGTGCAGTGGCATGATCTCGGCTCACTGCAGCCTCCACCTCCCAGGTTCAAGCGATTCTCCTGCCTCGGCCTCCCAAGTGGCTGGGATTACAGGTGCCCGCCACTCCGTTCAGCTAATTTTTTGTATTTTTAGTAGGGATGGGGTTTCACCATGTTGACCAGGCTGGTCTCAAACCCCTGACCTTGTGGTTCACCCGCCTTGGCCTCCCAAAGTGCTGGGATTACAGGCGTAAGCCACCACTCCCAGCCAACCTTACTTTTTTTTTTTTTTTTTGAGGCAGAGTCTTGCTCTATCACCCAGGCTGGAGTGCAACGGCGCAATCCTGGCTCACTGCAACCTCCGCCTCCCGGGTTCAAGTGATTCTCCTGCCTCAGCCTCCCGAGTAGCTGGGATTATAGGTGCCCACTACCTCGTCCTGCTAAGTTTTTTGTATTTTCAATAGAGACGGGTTTCACCAGGTTACCCAGGCTGGTCTTGAACTCCTGACCTCAGCTGATCCACCTGCCTCGGCCTCCCAAAGTGCTGGGATTACAGCTGTGAGCCACCATGCCCGGCCTTTTTTTTTTTTTTTTTTTGAAGCTATGCTGTGAGCACATGGAACACTTCATTGTTGTTTTGGGGGGACGGGGCATATGTCACTGATAGAATGTCTCTGAAGCTGGATTGATGTGGGGAAAACACATTTCCCTTCTAGGTTTGAGAGAGTTCCTCTTGGCTCCCAGGAGGAGGGACTCCCTGACTTTGACACACTTGGCCACCTTGGCACAAAAGCCTTGTGGTATGAAAAAACAAATTCATTTTTATGTCCTCTTCTCCCTTTCCATCTTTCAGCATAGACTTAGCTCCCTTAAGCCCAGACATCTGTTGGGACCTTACCCTGAGTCATTGGTTGCCAGTGTGTCAGGCAATCTGGACTTTCCAGTGATGCCACTGAGATGGCACCCCTCAAAAGAACCATGGTTCCATCTCTAGCTTGTGGCTCTTCAGATAAATTCTGCCATTTTCATTTCACTTCCTGAAAATCAGGATTGGCTCGTGAAAAGTTGTTAAACAACATGCTAAATGTGAAATGCCAACCCTCACTCTAAACTTTCCCTGTTCAGGGCATCAGTTGAAGACTTCATCGGGCTTTATAGTGGCTTCCTGATTTTTGGCAGCCCATTGAAGAAAGGAGTTTGAAGGTTGTTATATACTGTTAACGATTGTCTACCCATGTCCTGTCTGAAATACCATGGTTGTTTATAGAAAGTTTCTGTAATAAAGCTGGACACAGTCTGAAAGCATAACAAAACAAAACGAAAAACAAACAAAAACCTAGTAAGGGACAAGGAAGTCACGACTTTCTTGTTAATCCTTCCTCAACTAACATGAGCACTATAAAGCAAATAGATGAGGTTCTGGAGCAAAAGTTCCCAAGCAAATACTTCATTATAAAACACTGAGTTCCGAGGAATATGCAAATCCTATTCAGGCCGCCAATCACTTGACAGGCTTTTATGCCATATCTTTCATTTCAGCCACGAGTAGTTACTAGATAAGGTTTAATTAACCTCTAGGGGCTCACACATTAAATAGCTTGCTCAAGGTTGCCCAGCCAATATATGTCAAAGCCAGGCTTTGAGTCTCAAGACACCAGTCTCCAAACCCTGTGCTCTTTTCTCCCCCACCCCCAACCCTGTGCCAACATGGGCCCTGCCCTGGGGGAATTTACAGTTTACAGGGGACAGTACATACCTATATAAAAAGAGAGGCCAGCACTTGCATGTAAATCATGTATGGGGTTGTAGAAGCAGCTGTAAAAATAATGGCATCATTACAGAAGATTAAAACGAAATCAATTTCAGCCACAGTACAGGCTTTGTGTGCTTTCAGCATGGACTCCACAGACTGTATCTGCAGTTAAAAGGAAACCCCCAGGTGTTTTATTAACAATGTGTTTCAAAATCATATAAACATAAGGAAAGAAATATGCTGGCATTTATTACCGTATTTACCTTTTCATATTGTTTCTTTCTTTCTTCCTTTTTTTTTTTTTTGAGACAGAGTCTCGCTCTGTCGCCAGGTAGGAGTGCAGTGGCGTGATCTCGCCTCACCGCAACCTCCGCCTCCTGGGTTCAAGCGATTCTCTTGCCTCAGCCGCCTGAGTAGCTGGGACTACAGGTGCGCACCACCACACCCGGCTAATTTTTGTATTTTTGGTAGAGACGGGGTTTCACCACATTGGCCAGAATGGTCTCGATCTCTTGACCTCATGATCTGCCCACCTCAGCCTCCCAAAGTGCTGGGATTATAGGCGTGAGCCACTACGCCTGGCTGTTTTTACATCTTTTCTCCCCAAACATTGTTATATTGCCACAACTTATATGGTTTTGTCTCCTCCTAGGTTTCCTGCAACCTCACTGGGCATTTTCAGAATGATCTGTACAAGCGTTGACTGAATGATTGATTCCAAGTTCCCCCTTCCTAGGATTTCAGACCTCCTCTTGACAAGTGATGAATGGGCCATCTTAATCTTGTTTGGATCAGAAAGGACCATACAATTGAGGTAAGAGGGGAGCTGGTTTCTTCAGTGTGACAGAGACAACACCCTGTCCGTTCAGGTCCCCTCACCAAAAGCTTTTTTTTTTTTGAGATGGAGTTTCACTCTGTTGCCCGGGATGGAGTGCAGTGGCACCATCTCTGCTCACTGCAACCTCCACCTCCCAGGTTCAAGCAATTCTCCTGCCTCAGCCTCCCGAGTAGCTGGGGCTACAAGTGTGCGCCACCATGCCCAGCTGATTTTTGTATTTTTAGCAGAGGTGGGATTTCACCATGTTGGCCAGGCTGCTCTCAAACTCCTGGCCTCAAGCAATCACCTGCCTCAGCCTCCCAAAGTGCTGGGATTTTAGGTGTGAGCCGCCATGCCCAGCCACCAGAGCTCTTATTTTTTATTTATGTTTTTTTTTTGAGATGGAGTTTTGCTCTTGTTGCCCAGGCTAGAGTGCAGTGGTGCGATCTTAACTCACCGCAACCTCCATCTCCCAGATTCAAGCAATTCTCCTGCCTCAGCCTCCCACATAGCTGGGATTACAGGTTTGCGCCACCACATCTGGCTAATTTTGTATTTTTTGTAGAGACGGGGTTTTACCATGTTGCCCAGGCTTGTCTCGAACTCCTGAGCTCAGGTGATCTGCCTGCCTTGGCCTCCTCTCATTGTATTTTGTGTACACAATACTCCCTACAAGGTCTGGAACTGCCTATGACCTCCTCAGATGAGCAACCAAGAACAATTGTCTGTCTGAAACAGCCTTCACGTGGTGGTGACGGTAGCTCAGAGCAGCAATCTCCTTCCTATTCCTCGTTGTTTCCCAACCAGTGAAAACTGATAATATAACATTGCCCAATTATATGCCTATAATGTGTCTGTATCGTGTGCTCATATGTGCACTTGTATAAAGCCAGGTGTTCATGGGGCCAGACATACATTATATGCCCATATTGGTGTTTATATATGTACAATTGTATAATATGTAGATTATAGGCACATAGATATTATGAAAGAATGGCACGAACACGAGTAGAAACTGGAGTTTAAATGCTTTTCTCCAGCCCCACAGTAGGTCAAGCAAAGCTCTTGAGGGACCACTGCTCCAAACTAGTGACGTACAGTGTGGCAGGCAGGATCACCAGCACTCAGATTGCCTGAAGGCAATATTAAAAATGCACATTCATAACTACCTCCCTCACCCCATCAGAACCTCCGCAGAGAGCCAGAAATCAGTATTTAAAAGATGCCCCCAGGTGATTCATAAACTTAGACATTTTAGTAGGTTTTCAAGACCTTAGGTCTAAACCTGGCTTATATATCCCTGGTCACTTATCTTCTCTGAGCCTCAATGTGTTCATTTGTAAATGAAGATAACAAGACCCATTCTCAAGGGAGATGTATGTAAAGATGCCTATCATGCACTGTTTTTCAAACATTAGAAAAATGTGGCCTATAGTAAGAAATACATTTTATATCACCACTAGTATAAACATATATCTGTCCATGTATATATATAACTGCAATAAATTCTATACAACAATACTCTCAAGCCGTGGCTCCTGCCTCTAATCCCAGCACTTTCGGGAGGCTGAGGCAGGCGGATCATGAAGTCAGGAGTTTGAGACCAGCCTGGTCAGCATGGTGAAACCCCGTCTGTATTAAAAATACAAAAATTAGATGGACGTGGTGGCACATGCCTGTAATCCCAGCTACTTGGGAAGCTGAGGCAGGAGAATTGCTTGAATCTGGGAGGCGAAGGTTGCAGTGAGCTGAGATCGTGCCACTGCACTCCAGCCTGGGCAACAAAGTGAGACTCCATATCAGAAACAAACAAACAAACAAACAAACCCAGAAACAATACTCTCACCCTTTCTATGGGCGGTGCCCCCTGAGAATTTCTGATTTATTCTATTCTGATTCATTTAAGGAAAAAACACTGCTAGGGATCCTGGGTGACTTTTCTGAGTAATAGCTGGCCTTTGTAAAGTTCTTGTGCATACGTGACTTCACTGTAGTTTGGATCTTCACAATAACCCAGTGAGGTGAGAGGTAAAAAGTGGAAGTTCAGAGGGGAAAGAGGGATCTATGGATCTGAGACTGGGATCTATTTTGTTTTTTTGAGACATAGCCTCACTGTTGCCCAGGCTGGAGTACAGTGGTGAGATGACTCACTGCCACCTCCTGGGTTCAAGCAATTCTCCTGCCTCAGCCACCTGAGCAGCTGTGATTACAGGCATGCACCATTATGACCGGCTAATATTTATATTTTTAATAGAGATGTTGTTTCATCATGTTGGCCAGACTGATCTCGAACTCCTCACGTCTAGTGATCCGTCTGCCTTGACCTACCAAAGTGCTGGTATTACAGGCATGAGCCACTGTGCCCAGCTGGGACTGAGGTCTTACCCTGGGCCTGTATTGCTCTATGCTGTCCCCCAGTGTCACCCCAGCCATGCCTCCCAAACTGGTCCTACAGGGCTTCTTGGAGACTGAGTGAGACTAGGGCCATTTTCATTTTTGAGGGCCCTGTTTTTTTGTTTTTTGTTTTTAGAGGGAGGTAGTGCCAAAAGGGGGAGAACTATTATATTATATTTCACAAATTAATGCCCTGAACATACAAACACATCAACTGCAATGACTACACATGTACTCTCATTGGGAGATGATGTCAGAAGCCTAGGTTTAAGACCATTCATGATGTGGGACCCTGTATCAATAACCCTCGTGTGTCCCTCCCCCTTGATTGTTGAGGGGTCCTCATGGCCAAACTTGTTTCACATAAATTTAGCTGAATGGAGGTTGTAGGTGAACATGCTGGAGTGGGTTCCCTGGAGGGTGAGGATGGAAGCCAGCTGTCTACGATCCAAGGTAGAAGAGAAGATAAAGAAGGAGAGTGAATGAGTATAAAAATGCTTTCCCAAAGCGTGGCTCTGAAAGGCAGGTGGAACCAGGGTTAGTAATAGCATGAGTTGCTTAAAGGAGTACTGAGATAAGACAAGATTGAGCATGTAGGAAATGATAAGATGATCTGTCTAATAGACAAGGCTGAATTTAAAGACACAGAAGAAATTAAAGTGTGGAAAGATGGGAAAACATGAAGACACAGACCATGAGAAATCAGTGTCTTATATAAAAAGGCACTTTCTTTTTCTCCAGAATCAAATGTAATAGGTGAACTTCATCACTGAGCCACCAAATAATATGTGAGGGAAAATGTCTTCTTATAAGATTTTCATAAGGTCAATCTGCAGAGGACTTTAAGAAAAATATAAAATGTGTGGATCATGTCCTCCAGGTTTATCTATGTTGTTGCAAATGGCAGGCTCTCCTTTTAAAAGGCTGAATAATATTCCATTGTGTGTATAGGTGTGTATAGATGTGTGTGTGTGTATGTGTGTGTATATACATAAAACAATTTCTTTTTTTCTTTTTTTCCTGAGATGGAGTTTCACTCTTGTTGCCCAGGCTGGAGTGCAATGGTGTGACCTTGGCTCACTGCAACCTCTGCCTCCCTGGTTCAAGCGATTCTACTGCCTCAGCCTCCCACGTAACGGGGATTACAGGCATGTGCCACCACCCACCACGTCCCCCACACCCCAGCTAATTTTTGTATTTTTAGTAGAGACAGGATTTTACCATGTTGGTCAGGCTGGTCTGAAACTCCTGACCTCAGGTGATCCACCCACCTCAGCCTCCCAAAGTGCTAGGATTACAGGTATGAGCCACCACCATCGCTCCTAGCGGACCACAATTTCTTTATTCATTCATCCATCACTGGACACATAGGTTGTTTCTATAATTTGGCTATTGTGAATAATGTTGCAATGAACATGGAAGTGCAGATATCTCTATGAGGTGCTGATTTCATTCCCTTTGGTATATATCCAACAGAGGGATTGCTACACAGGTAAACCTGGAGGACATTATGCTAAGTGAAACAAGACAGGCTGCATAACAAAAAGACTGCATGATCTCAAGTATAAGTAAATCTTTTAAAAAGTCAAATACATGCCAGCCAGGTGTGGTGGCACACGCCTGTAATCCCAGCTACTGGGGTGGCTGAGGCAGGAGAATCGCTTGGACATGGGAGGCAGAGGTTGCAGTGAGCCGAGATCATATCATTGCACTCCAGCCTGGGCAATAAGAGGGAAACTCCATCAGACAAAAAAAAAAAAAAAAAAGTCAAATGCAGGCCAGGCTAGGTGGCTCACTCCCATAATCCCAGCACTTTGGGAGGCCGAGGCGGGTGGATCACTTGAGGTCAGAAGTTCGAGACCACCCTGGCCAACATGGTGAAAACCCATCTCTACTAAAAATACAAACATTAGCCAGGCGTGATGGTGCGTGCCTATGACAGAGTGAGACTCCATCTCAAAAAAAAGAAAAAAAGTCAAATACATAAAAACAGAGTAGAACATGGTGGTTACCAGGAGCAGGGAGGGGAAGAAAAAGGCAGAAGTGGGTCAAATGGTATGAACTTGCAGTTATGTACTAAGTCTAGAGCTCTAATATGCTTCATGAGGACTATAGTTAATAATATCGTATCGTAGGCCGAGCGCGGTGGCTCATTCTTGTAATCTCAGCACTTTGGGAGGCTGAGGCGGGTGGATCACTTGAGGTCAGGAGTTCGAGACGAGCCTGGCCAACATGGCGAAACCCCATCTCTACTAAAAATACTAAAAATTAGCTGGGTGTGGTGGCATGTGCCTGTAATTCCAGTTACTCAGGAGGCTAAGACAGGAGAATTGCTGGAACCTGGGAGGTGGAGGTTGCAGTGAGCCCAGATTGCACCACTGCACTCCAGCCTGGGCAACGGTGCGAGACTCCGTCTCTAAATAAATAAATAAATAAAACTGTATTATATACTGAAAATTTGCTAAAAAGTAAATTTTAGGTGCTCCTACCACACGCACATGCATGCAACACACCCAAACACACACACTCACAAAGATAACTATGAAAGATGATAGTGCTGGGCGAGGTGGCTCACTCCTGTAATCCCAGCACTTTGGGAGGCTGAGGTGGGAGATCACGAGGTCAAGAGATCGAGATCATCCTGGCCAACATGGTGAAACCCCGTCTCTACTAAAAATATAAAAATTAGCTGGGTGTGGTGGCACACGCCTGTAGTCCCATCTACTGGGAGGCTGAGGCAGGAGAATCACTTGAATCCAGGAGGCGGAGGTTGCAGTGAGCCAGGATCGCCCCACTGCACTCCAGCCTGGTGACAGAGCAAGACTCCATCTCAAAAAAAAAAAAAAAAAAAAAGAAAGATGATGGATAGGATATTTTCATGACAGTAGTAATTAGTTCACATTTATATGTGTATCATATCTATATCATATATATCATCATATTATATACTTTATTTATATCTTTTTACATTTTTTTGAGACAGGGTCTCACTCTGTCACCCAGGCTGGCGTGCAATGGTGCAATCTCAGCTCACTGCAGCTTCCACCTCCTCGGCTCAAGCGATTCTCATGCTTCAGCCTCACGAGTAGCTGGGATTATAGGTGCCCGCCACCACGCCTGGCTAATTTTTGTATTTTTAGTAGAGACGGGGTTTCGCCACTTGGGCCAGGCTGGTCTCGAACTCCTGGCCTCAGGTGATCCACCCGCCTGAGCCTCCCAAAGTGCTAGAATTACAGGTGTGATCCACCATGCCCAGCCTACGTAATATACTTTAAATATATAGTTTTAATAATAAAATCAATAGATTAAGTAGACTTAAGAGACATATCAAATTTTTTAAAAAAGAAAAATTATTATTATATTTAGAGATGCCTAACTGGATGACGAATGCGAGAAAGTGAGTGTTGAAGAAGTGAGAACCTAGCTGGGCATGGTGGCATGTGCCTGTGGTCCCGGCTACATGGGAGGCTGAGGCAGGAGGATTGCTTGAGCCCAGGAGGTTGAGGCTGCAGTGAATCATGATTGTACCACCACACTCCAGCCTGGGTTAGAGGGTGAGACCCTGTCTCAAAACATAAAATAAAATGACAAAATAAATAAAAGTGAGAACAACAGTTACTTTTGGAGGAGGATTGGAGCCATGATTGGGATGGGGTTGGTAGATGGTTACTGGGATGACTAGTAAATTCCCTCCCTCCCTCCCTCCCTCCCTCCCTTCCTTCCCTCCTTCCCTTCCTTTCTAAATTAGAGATGGGTCTAGCTACCTTGCTCAGGCTGGTCTCAAACACGAGGCCTCAGGCGATCCTTCTGCCTCAACCTTTCAAAGTACTGGGATTACAGGCATTAGCCGCTGTGCCTGGCCAAAGTTCTATTTCCTGATTGGAGTGGTGATTAAAAAGAGATGTGCCTCATAATAATTCACTAAGCTAGATTTCTGTGGTTTTGTTTCTCAGCTTTAGACAAGACTAAAAATATCAAAAGTAGCACTCTGCAATTTTATGTGCATGTGGCTTGAAGCTCTGACAACAACACAAAAGGTAAGGAGCCAATGACTGTGGTACTTCAAACCCTAGCACATTTACAGCTGTCTTTCCTCCTCACAATACCACCAGGAAGGAGAATTTGTAGCCTGACATAAGAGAAATAACAAAGGACTTGGAATCAGGTAGTCCTGGGCTAAAGTCAGCTGTCTACACTTTTGACTGGTTGCCTTCTATTTCATAGCTGTGCAATGTTGTGCAAGTTGGCCAATCCCACAGAGCTTCAATTTCCTCATGTATCAAATAGGGATAATGAATTGTGTGGATTAGATAAGTGTGTGCAATGTACACAGTAGATGCTCAAGTGATGCTATTATCATAATTGTTTTTATGAGTCAAAGAACAGGTTGACCAGGTTCTAGGACCTGGAAACTGTGTGTGAATCTGCTGCCATGTGGGCTCATTGTTCTGATTATTCCCATAGTTGTTCTAAACTCCAAACAAGGGTCTGTTCTCCTGCTGCTGGCTGCCTTCCCACGAAAGACAGGCCCAAGCAGGGAAGCAATGGGTCATGCTTTTGAGTGCTGGAAGCATGTGACCCTCTTTGAGATGTCTTTCCTTGCACATCAAATGATACAATCGATAGTCAATGAATGTTAGGGAATCAATGAGTCACACTTTCAGTGACAAAGGCAGTGATAAAAACTCCTTCATTGACTATTCCTTTCCCATCTGGGGTTCTGAAATTGGGTGGCACTGGTTCATCTGCTGGAAGCCTTCTGCTCTCCTAGGTCCAGCTTCAGCCAACACGGCCGACACCACCAGCACTCACTCTACTTCTCTAAAGACAAGTCTGGGTGTCATCCTCCTCCTCCTCCAGGGGCATTTGGCAATGTCTGGAGACATTTTTGGTTGTCATAGCTTGGAGGATGCTACTGGCATGTAATAGGTAGAGATTAGGGATGCGGCTAAACATGCTACATCACACAAGACAGCTCCCCACAGCAAGGAATTATCTGGCCTCAAATGTCAATAGGGCCAAGGTTGAGAAATCCTGATCTAGAGGGAAGTGGGCAAAGAGACTTGGAGCCCACAACCTCCAGGTCCCGCCCAGGTGCCTTGGTATGCGTCCAGTTCACAGACAGCATACTTGAGGCCACAGGTAGTCATATGACTTGCCCACAGTCATGTAGGTGTCAGGATGATGGTTTTCTGATTCAAAGCCTCGTTCTAGGTTAGAAATCTGCCTCCTCAAGGCTTCCTGATAATTGAGGTCTAGATCTTCAAAGTACAGCCTGAGCCACAGGAAAGAAGTCCTGGCTTTCTCTGGCCTTGTGACCTGTTCATAGCACAGCCTTTCAGTGGCTGTCTCTCCACGACTCTGAGATGATCCAGCCTGAGTCAGGCATGCAAACCCTTCCAAGTTCGGGTCCTGTTCAGTCCCCTGTCCTCACATCCCAGTTCCCTTTTGCTCTTTTTTTTTTTTTTTTTTTTTTTTTGAGACGGAGTCTTGCTCTGTCACCCAGGCTGGAGTGCAGTGGCACAATTTCGGCTCACTGCAACCTCCGCCTCCCAAGTTCAAGTGATTCTCCTACATCAGCCTCCCTAGTAGCTGGGATTACAGGCGCCCGCCACCACGCCCAGCTAATTTTTTTTTGTATTTTCATTAGAGACGGGGTTTCGCCATGCTGGCCAAGCTGGTTTCAAACTCCTGACCTCAGGTGAACTGCCTGCCTCGGCCTCCCAAACTGCTGGGATTACGGGCATGAGCCACCACTCCTGCCCACCCTCTTGCCGTTTCCCGCTGCTTTCTCAACAGCCCCATCACCCCCACACTCTTACTCATCGCTGTGCCTTTGTTTACAGATTCCCAAATGTGGTACTCATTCTACCTGGATATACCAGAGGATTTTGTGGGAATAAAAGGATGACTGTTTTTTCACTTGAATAATTAGGTATTTATTTATTTATTTATTTATTCATTTATTTTTGAGATGGCGTTTCACTCTTGTCACCCAGGCTGGAGTGCAATGGTGCAATCTCGGCTCACTGCAAACTCTGCCTCCTGGGTTCAAGCAATTCTCCTGCCTCAGCCTCCTAAGTAGCTGGGATTTCAGGCGCCCGCCACCATGCCTGGCTAATTTTGTATTTTTAGTAGAGATGGGGTTTCTCCATGCTGGTCAGACTGGTCTCAAACTCCTGACCTCAGGTGATCCTCCTGCCTCGGCCTCCCAAAGTGCTAGGATTACAGGAGTGAGCTACCGTGCCCAGCTAGGTATTTATTTTAATGTATATTAGAAAAAAGCAGCAAGCAAACCCATGATGTGCTATGTGGGTTTTTTTGTTTGTTTTTGTTTTTTTTTTTGAGACGATGTTTTGCTCTTGTCGCCCAGGCTGGAGTGCAGTGGCGTGATCTCGGCTCACAGCAACCTCCGCCTCCTGGGTTCAAGCAATTCTCCTGCCTCAGACTCCTGAGGATTACAGATGCCCGCCACCACACCTGGCTTTAGTAGAGATGGGGTTTCTCCATGTTGGTTAGGCTGGTCTTGAACTCCTGACCTCAGGTGATCCATCACCTCGGCCTCCCAAAGTGTCGGGATTACAGGAGTGAGCCACCACACCCAACCTACTATGTCTTTTTTATTTAATTATATTTAAATTTTAAATATAGTCCAATACGAATATTACATAAATATCGTATAGGTGGCAATCTTATGGAGTGAAAATCATGAAGGTGGATGTGTAGACATGAAGTCTATCTTCACTTAAGCTCTTTCCCTAGGTTAATGTCCTTCTCCCTGCCTGACCTCTGTGTATCCTCACTCACTGTACCCCATGCCTGGCTAATGGCCACTCATCCTTGAGCTGAGTAGCTCAGGCTTTCATTCCTCTAGAAGCTTCTCTTACCAATACCCAGCACTCCTACCCCAGGCTGGGTCAGGTGTCTCCTCTGCGAATCGTTGGAGGAAGGACACATAGCTAAGTTAATTCAGAAATAAGACTGCCTACTATAAAGCCATACTGAGTGGAGGCTCTGAAGAGCTACAGTTGTTGAACTTGCAAGACATGGAGCACTGCTTTCTTTCTTTTCTTTTTTTTTCAGATGGAGTCTAGCTCCGTCGTCTAGGCTGGAGTGCAGTGGCGTGATCTCAGCTTACTGCAACCTCCGCCTCCCGGGTTCAAGTGATTCTCCTGCCTCAGCCTCCTGAGTAGCTGGGATTACAGGCACCCACCACTACACCTGGCTAATTTATTGTATTTTCAGTAGAGACAGGGTTTCATCATGTTGGCCGGGCTAGTCTTGAACTCTTGACGTTGTGATTCACCCACCTCAGCCTCCCAAAGTGCTGGGATTACAGGCATGAGCCACCGCGCCCGGCCGGAGCACTGCTTTTCTACTGTGAAGTTTTTATTTCCCATTCAGCTCAGCCTGAGAAACAAGCTTCTGACCCCAGTCTTAGTAACAAGCCAGGGCATGAGAGCAATGCAACTTCATCCCTGGACAGAAACTAAGCACCATGTAGTTTCCTATACCAACCCGTCACTATGTGCCAGGAAGTCTCTGACTTTGGGACTGGAAGACGTGGAGCTGTTTGAGTTTGGCCAAAATAGTTTCCCTCTCTGAGCTTCGGTTTCCCTATTTGTAAAATGAAAGGAATGAGCCCTACTCACCTCCTAAGGTGGCCGTGAGTTTTGAGCTGAGTGAATGGACGTGGAAGCACTTTGGAAATCATGAAGCACTTTTGAGTGAATGGAAGGGGTTGTTGTTTTTAAGCACTTAAATGAGAACAGCCTGATACTGTGGGGTTTTCAGTGCGATGCTGTGTAACCAGAATAACCGGAGTGCGTGTTTGTGCATCTTTACCCACATGCATACACACACCCTGACTACAGAATGTGGCTTTAGGCCTCTTTTGAGATGCTGCGAGGTACAGCACACACAGGCAGCTCACGGAGGATATTAGGGCTTTGGGGTTTCGAAGGGCAAAGCCTGAGAGGAGAGATGTATGATCAAAATCAAGAAACAATTTCTTTCCTTCAGACATTCAACAGCTCCTGCTTGAGCAGCACCACTGTGCCAGGCTCTGGCAACGTTGGAGATAAAGGATGTGTCTCTGTTCTCAAAAGGATCGATTCCAGCAGGGAGAACCTACATGTGAATAAGTCACTCCATGCAAGGTGTATCTGGGATTACAGGTGTGCGCCAGCACTCAGCAACACACGGTGCTGCAGAAACCCTAAGATTTAACTCCAACTTCTGGAGAAGAGCTCACTGCAAGACAGATGAGAAAGAGGTTGTTTTAAGATGAAGAAAAGGAATGATACTTGATTCATCATCTTATACATGATTCACAAGAAAAATATAATGTCTTTATTTTTCAGAGGGTTTTTTAAAATTAAGAGATGGGATCTTGCTACGTTGCCCAGGCTGTAGTGCTGTGGCTATTCACAGGCATGGTCATAGCTCACTACTGTCTTGAACTCCTGGGCTCAAGCCATCCTCTTACCTCAGCCTCCCATGTAGCAGGGACTACAGGTGCCTGTGACCACATCTAGTTTTCCAGTGGGTTTTAAAATGACCTAAGTGTTTGAGGAGAGGAACAGGCTGGCACTGAGAGGCATGACTAAATTGTGAGCCCTCCTTGAGGACTGGAGCTGTGTCTTATATTCCCAGCATAAAGCCCAGTGTGAAGCAGCACACTCTGCATAGTGGTCAAAGCAGCTGATAAATATAAGGTCAATATCAGGACACTCTGACAGCCTCACACAGCCAACAAACACTGACTTGCCAAGTCCTGTGCAGGGCACTGGGGGTGGGAGGGTATGGGAGGATGCACACTAGCTAGAAGTCAAGAAGTCAGACTGCAAACAGTCACTCGATAGTGGGTTGGCGGAAGTGTAACAGTGTGATGGTGCCTTCACCTGGGCAGAGAGCAACAGGGGGCCCTGCACAGAAGACAACATCTGCCAGTGATGAAACCAGCTCCACCCCTGCCAACCGTGGCCTCCTCTACAGCACATACCTGGGGCCACCATCCAAGGCCCAGAGGAGCCAGGAGCTAATTGCATGGCTTTGCTCTACTTGATATTTCTGGGTTCCTACATTTCACACCTGTCCCAACACTTTGAGCTCCTCTAGAGCAAGGACCAATTCTTTATCTCCAAATCTCTGGAACATAGAGGAACTGAGAATGGGTGCTGAATGAATGAAAGATTGAAACAGTATTACATATCTAATAGAATTGCTCCAGTGACCTTGTTGTATTCTCAAGAGTTACAAGGGGGCCGAGCACGGTGGTTCGTGCCTGTAATCCCAGCACTTTGGGAGGCTGAGAAGGGCAGATCACTTGAGGTCAGGAGTTCAAGGCCACCCTGACCAATATGGTGAAACCTCATCTCTACTAAAAATACAAACATTAGCTGGGCGTGGTAGCGCACACCTGTAATCCCAGCTACTGGGGAGGCTGAGGCAGGAGAATTGCTTGAATCCAGGGGGTGGAGGTTGCAGTGAAATGAGATCGTGCCACTGCACTCCAGCCTGGGCAACAGAGTGAGACCCCATCTCAAAAAGAAAAAAGTTACGAGGGGCTGCAATTTAGATCTCACTCATTTAATTCATTTGAGCATTTCTACTAGAGTCCTCTACACTAAAAAAAAAAAAAAAAATTGTGGCCGGGCATGGTATAATCCAAGCACTTTGGGAGGATGAGGTGGGAGGATCACTTGAGGCTAGGAGTTCGAGACCAACCTAAGTAACGTGGCAAGACACTGTCTCTATTTAAAATTTAAAAAAATAAAAAATAAAATTAAAATAAATAAATAAATTAGTATTAGGAGGCAATATAAATATAATGCATACAAAAGTTACATGTACTACATATGTAAGTTGAGTATATATGCTTTTAGATAAAAAATATATAAATTATATGTTTTTATATAATAAAAGATGAATACATATAAATCACTACCCAAGTTAAGGATTAGAACATTCCTAGTGTTATTGCATCCACTGGGGTGAGTCCTTCCTAACTCATCCCTCGAAGACCACCCCAGACTACCCCCCATGGCCCCATGTGTTTGCATTCCCTTTATTTTATAATGGGTTTACTCCAAGTGTATTTGTAAGAAAACAATCTATTATTTTATTTATTATTATTATTATTTTTTTTTTTTTTGGAGACGGAGTCTCGTCTGTGGTCCAGGCTGGAATGCAGTGGCGTGGTCTCGGCTCACTGCAACCTCCGCCTCCCAGGTTCAAGGGATTCTCCTGCTCAGCCTCCCCGGTAGTTGGGACTACAGGCATGGGCCACCACGCCCGGATAATTTTTATATTTTTAGTAGAGATGGGGTTTTGTCATGTTGGCCAGGCTGGTCTTGAATTCCCGACCTCAGGTGATCTGTCTGCCTTGGCCTCCCAAAGTGCTGGGATTACAGGCATGAGCCACTGCGCCCGGCCTTTTTAGCTTGTTTTGAGCTTTATAAAAAAAGGCATTATATTCTAATGTTCTAAAGTTTTATTGAGGTATAATCGATATATCAAAAATTGCAAATATTTAATGTGTACATCTGTGTGAGTTTGGACATATGCCTATACCTGTGATACCATCACAACTAAGGTTCTGAACATATCCAACACTTCCAAATACTTCCTTGTATTCTTTTTTTTCCCTTTCTGTGTGTAGTAAGAACACTTAAACATGAAATCTCCCTGCCTAACATAAAGTGCACAACACCATGTTGTTAACTTTACGTGCTGTGTTGTACTACAGATCTCTAGAATTTATTCATCTGGCATAACCAAAAGTTTATACCCATCGAGCAAAAATTCTTTATTTCCCCTTCCACCAGCCCCTGGCAGCCACTGTTCTTCTATGAGTTTGACTATTTTAGATGCCTCATATAAGCGAGATCATGCAGAGTTTTTTCTCCCTCCCTCCCTCCTTCCCTTCCTTTCTTTTCTTTCTTGACAAGGTTTCACTCCCATCACCCAGGCTGGAGGGCAATGGCACAGTCTTCACTCTCTGTAGCCTCCGCCTCCCAGGCTCAAGCAATTTTCCTGCCTCAGCCTCCCAGTGGCTGGGACAGTATTTGTCTTTCTATAGCTGGCTTATTTCACTTAGCATAAAGTCCTCCAACATAATGTCATCTACGTTGTCACAAATCGTAGAATTTCCTTTTCTTTAAGGCTGAATAATACTTCATTGTGTGCAGCTTGTTTTCTTTACTTATTATTTCCATGTTATTGAATGTGGCTTTAATTCATTCATGTTCACTTCTGTGTAGTATTCCACTGTGTGAATAGACAAAAAAATCTTTTTTTTTTTTTTTTCTGAGATGGATTCTCCCTCTGTCGCTCAGGCTGGAGTGCAATGGCGCAATCTCGGCTCACTGCAACTTCTGCCTCCTGGGTTCAAGTGATTCTCCTGCCTCAGCCTCTCAAGTAGCTGGGAATACAGGCACCCACCATCATGCTTGGCTAATTTTTGTATTTTTGTGGAGAGCGGTTTCTCCATGTTAGCCAGGCTGATCTTGAACTCCTAACTTCAGGTGATCCACCCACCTCAGCCTCCCAAAGCGTTGGGATTACAGGCGTGAGCCACCACAACCAGCCAAAAAAATCTTATTTATTTGTTGGTAGACATTATGCTTATTTGTAGTTTTTTTTTTTTGACCATTATTTACAATTCTGCTATGAACATTCTTATGTATATCTCCTGGTGCACAGGAGCAGGGCTTTATCTAGGGTATAGATCTCAAGAAGTTTATTGCTGGATGGTAAGATCTGTGAATGTTCAGATGTATCTTGGCCTGGCATTCAGAGGTATCCGTGACCTGGCCTAGGATACCCTCCCACCTGGCTCCCACATCCCTAGCCAAGCCCACTCCCCTGTGTGCCATTTCCGGAACTCTGATTCACCCTGCACTTCCATGTCTCTAGGACTTTAACCATGCTCTAGTCTCCTGCCTGGAATGCCTCCCTGCCCCTCTTCCCTCTCCTTTCCTCTTTTAAAGTCTGGCTCAAAGCCCCTCCTCCCTGCCTGATAGTCTCTTCTGTGCCTTTGCACACTTTGTTTGTGTTTGGGGAGGAAAGATCCAGTGCTAAGCCCCGGCTTTATTATCTCCTGGCATTGTGACTCTAGAGAGCTTTGTTTAATCTCTCTGAACCTCAGGTCCACATGCCACATGTAGAAGGGAAATGCTGCAACTTATTGTACTGAGGCTGGGCTTACTTTTTTTTTTTTTTTTAACAAGCATCCCTCAATTAATAAAATGAGGTGTCACACTGTGGTTAAGATCATATGCTTTGGGATTAGATCATCCTGGGCTTGAGGATTAAATGAGACAACGTATATAAATGATTTAGCACGATGCCTAGCCCACAGAAAATTTCCAGTAATTTCTGGCTGTTATTCATACTCATACCCTTCTACAGGAGTCACTATTTTTTTTTTTTTTTTTTTTTTTTTGAGACAGAGTCTTGCTCTGATGCCTAGGCTAGAGTGCAATGGTGTGATCTTGGCTCACTGCAAACTCCGCCTTCCGGGTTCAAGCGATTCTCCTGCCTCAGCCTCCAGAGTAGCTGGGATTACAGGCCCCCGCCACTGTGCCCAGCTAATTTTTGTATTTTTTAGTAGAGACGGGGTTTCACCATCTTGGCCAGGCTGGTCTTGAACTCCTGACCTCATGATCCACCCACCTCGGCCTCCCAAAGGCTGGGATTACAGGCGTGAGCCACCCAGCCCGGCCAGGAGTCACTATTTTTATCCCAAATTTACCGACAAGAAAACTGAGGCACAGAGCAATTGTATAGCCTGTCCACGGTATATAAAAGCTAGGATTTGAACCTGGGTTCCTTGACAAGCCCAAGCCCCTAACTACTTCTCATAATCACAGTTTGAAGATAAAAGGCTAAAAGGAAAGTATGAAAGGAAGTATCTTCTCCTTTTCTGTCTTCTGGATATTTGGCCAAACCACTGTGACCTGTGCCTAGGTCTATATTTTATCTCTTTGCAAATAAAAACTCCCAGATAGAAAAGCCTGGCCATGTATGCATGTGGCATCTAGTGCTTTCTTGGTATAGTGGGGGACAAAGGATGTATTTAAATGACCAAAATGGTTCACTTAGGGGAAATCTTCTAAGAGCCATTGCCTTTCTCTGTCCCTCTCTCTCTCTTTTTGTTTTTTGTTTTTTTTTTTTTGAGACAGAGTCTTGCTCTGTTGCCCAGGCTGGAGTGCAGTGGTGCAATCTCTGCTCACTGCAACCCTGTCTCCCAGGTTTAAGTGGTTCTCCTGCCTCAGCCTCCCAAGTAGCCGGGATTATAGGCATATGCCACCACGCCCAGCTAATTTTTGTGTTTTTAGTAAAGACGGGGTTTTGCCATGTTGCCCAGGCTGGTCTCGAACTCCTGACCTCAGATGATCTGCCTGCCTCAGCCTCCCAAAGTGCTGGGATTACACAAAGTGCTGGGCCATTGTACCTGGCCTCTGACCCCTCTGTTGTCTAAAATACAAGCTTATAAAGTAGTAAACGAATACTAAACATGTTTTCTGATCACTATCAGCTGTCTGGTGAATCATGCAGCTCCTTGAAATGAGGTATAAACACGGACTATCTTGACAGTGAAAAGATTAGGTTAGTTTCGGTTTTCAAGTGGTAAACTGGCAAACACAGGCCTTTGGACCACTTAGGTCTTTTGAAGAATAAACACCCTGCCCTACACCTCTTTGGCCTTTTCATCCAGGTACCCCCAAGCACTTTTCAACAGGATTTGGCATTCATCCATGGGTGTTTCAACCCATGGACAGGTGCTGGGTAGAGGGATGAAGGGGTGCTGGGAATCCTGCCTTGGGCTGTTTGTCCCTGGAGTAAACAGCATTCCTTTGGGAGGAGGGTAGAGTGAGGGAGCAATTGGCATGCAGATGGAGAAGGGCTGGGAAGGGAAACAGAGTTGTCCTGAGTGTTCCCAAAGGTCAGAACAACGATGCAAACTTGGGTTCCATATCAAGAGGTCCTTTCTGCATAAGTACCATGCCCTAACCAAGCGCCACTGGAGCTCCTCAAGAGGAAATTTCTAACAAGTCAGCACTGCTTGGTGGCAGAGGGAGCTCCCTATTTCTAGAGAAATGTGAGCAGTCACTTCATGAGGGTGACACAGTGAGCTGTCCGGCAGCCTGGAGGCAACATCAGGGACTCCTTGGCCTACACAGAGGCTCTGACCGTATCACTCCCTTAAACCAGTGTCCCTTGACCTAAAAGCCCAGGGCTCTCCACCCCAAACCAAACTGCCTCCTGGTTCCCGACTTCCAAGTTTGTCACTCTCCAAAAGTCAAGAATTTTTTTGTTTTTAAAACATTTTTTATTTGTGGTAAAATATATGTAACATAAAAATTTATCATTTAATCATTTTTCTGTTTTAATTTATTTTTCTTTTCTTTTTTTTTTTTCAGCCAGCATCTCACTGTATCACACAGGCTGGAGTGCAGTGGCACCATCACAGTTCACTGCATTCTTGACCCCCTGGGCTCAAGTGATCCTCCCACCGCAGCCTCCCGAGTCACTTTAACCATTTTTTTTTTTTTTGACAGAATCTCACTCTGTCGCCCAGGCTGGAGTGTAGTGGCATGATCTCGGCTCACTGCAACTTCTGCCTCCCGGGCTCAAGTGATTCTTGTGCCTCATCCTCCTGAGTAGAAGGGACTACAGTCACGTGTCACCACACCTGGCTAATTTTTTTGTATTTTTGGTAGAGACTGGGGTTTCACCATGTTGGCCAGGCTGGTCTTGAACTCCAGACCTCAGGTGATCTGCCCACCTTCGCCTCCCAAAGTGCTGGGATTACAGGCGAGAGCCACTGCACCCAGTTGCTTTAGTCATTTTTATTTTTATTTTTTGAGACAGTCCCTATAGCCCAGGCTGGAGTACAGTGGCGCAATCCTGGCTCACTGCAACCTCCGCCTCCCGGGTTCAAGTGATATTCATGCCTCAGTCTCCCAAGTAGCTGGGATTACAGGTGTGTGCCACCATACCCAGCTAATTGTTGTATTTTTAGTAGAAATAGGGTTTTGCCACGTTTGCCAGGCTGGTCTCAAACTCCTGACTGCAGGTAATCCACCCGTGTCGGCCTCCCAAAGTGCTCGGATTACAGGCGTGAGGTACCACACTTGACCTTTTAGTCATTTTTAATGTACAGTTTAGTGACATTAAATACATTCACATCGTTGTGCAACAGTCACCACGACTGTTTTTTTTTTTTTGAGACGGAGTCTCACACTGTCGCCCGGGCTAGAGTGCAGTGGCGCCATCTTGGCTCACTACAACCTCCACCTCCCAGGTTCAAGCGATTCTCCTGCCTCAGCCTCCAAAGTAGCTGGGATTACAGGTGCCCACCACCACGCCCAGCTAATTTTTTGTATTTTCAGTAGAGACAGGTTTTCACTATGTTGGCCAGGCTGGTCTCGAACGCCTGACCTCCTGATCCACCTGCCTGGGCCTCCCAAAGTGCTGGGATTACAGGCGTGAGCCACCGCGCCCGGCCTAACAGTTGATCTTTTCTGTTGTTGTTTTTATTGATATCACTATCCTAAGGGATGCAAGGTGATATCTCCTCATGGTTGTGAAGCTACTAAGTCTTAGTCACCTCTTGTTCAGGTCCTCCAAGAAGCAGATGCTAAGATGGGTTTAAACACACAGGGATTTCATTAGGACAAATGCCTGTGAGAGAAAACCAGGAGGGAGTAGTGGGAAGTTGAGGGAGCTCCAGGGGTGGGAAAGGGAAATAAGTTGTCTGTAGAGTTGTCGCAAGAGGCAGACCGCAGGTGGATGCAATTCTGTCCCAAAGTGAAGGCAATAAGGGAGGAAGCGTGGGTAGAGGAATCCTAGGCTGCCATTCAGTCTAAAGAAAGTTCAGCAGGTGTGTTGGGGAGTCCCTGAACCAGTGGCACCTATCACAGGAGTCCAGCATCTCTAGGAACAGGGCTGCTGTGGATTGCCTGCCACACTCAGTCAAACCAAGAAGCAGCCTGTGGGAAGTGTGGCTGGTACAAAAACAGTGATAGATTTCACGGCAGCCTCTGGGTCGGGTATGGTTAACTACTCTTCTTGTAGTTGCACTCCTCATGGCTGCATACCTGTGTCACACGGGGGGACTATTTAAGGTGTTGTGGGCTTATTTTCTTTTTTGGTAATCTGTATATATTCAAAGCTAGTTAGCAGACATCTGAAACATACTAAGTGCTCAACAATTATTTGTAAACAAAAGATTGCACTTCTGGCTTCAATGTGTCTCCTAAATGTTTTCACTCACTTAGAGAGTGGTAACCTTTTTATCTCTAAAAACGCACATATGATACTGTGTTTGTTTGTTTGTTTGTTTTTTGAGACAGAGCCTTGCTTTGTCAATCAGGCTGGAGGGCAGTGCATGGCTCACTGCAGCCTCAACATTCCAGACTCAAGCAATCCTCCTACTTCAGCCTCCTGAGTAGCTGGGACTACAGACGTGCACAACCACACCTGGTTAATTTTTTTAATTTTTGTAGAGATGAGATCTCACTACGTTGCCCAGGCTAGTCTTGAATTCCTGGGCTCAAGTGATCCTCCCACATGAGCCTCCCAAAATGCCTGTGAACCACTGTGCCTGGCCATATGATACTTTTGTTTTCCCCCAAAAGCATATGCTACCATATACTCTAAGGTGTTTTCCTTTCTGTGTGATTGCTGAAGAAGACAGCTGTTTAACAATGGAACACTTTCTATCTAACTAGCTGTCCTCCTTAGTCAGAAATGTGGGGGATTTTAGTTTTCTTTTTGCATAATCATCAGAAAATCCTCACCCAATATTGTTTGACTTGGGATTCAAATCCAAGACTAGTGGAATCCTCCAGCTTGGACAATCTGTCTCTCTCCTTGCAACCCACCTCCAGAAGCTGGTATTTGTATCTAAGGAGAGGATATATATGAAGAGTCTTGCTCACGGCAAACTCCTGCAAAGGATTTTGTTACTGTGAAGAACAGGGTAGTCCTATGTTGACGCTGAACCTGAACATTCAGAATTTTCTTGAGCCCCAAGGTAGTACCGCACACCTCACAGAAAAGTTGATGAGCAAAGGTGTTCTGTTTTGTGTTCTTCCCCCACTAATTCATATGTCAAAGGAAGTCCCTTGCCCTCCCAAAAGCACCCCACTCCTCTCTAAGGAGAATGGCCCAGTCCTTTCCCGAGTCCACACAGGGGAGGTGATAGCATTGCTTTCATGGAAATTACGAAGTGCAGGCAGGGTGCGGTGGCTCATGCCTGTAATCCCAGGACTTTGGGAGGCTGAGGCAGGCGGATCACCTGAGGTCGGGAGTTTGAGATCAGCCTGACCAACATGGTGAAACCCCCGTCTCTACTAAAAATGCAAAAATTAGCCAGGCGTGGTGACAGGCGCCTATAATCCCAGTTGCTCATGAGGCTGAGGCAGAAGAATCACTTGAACCCGGGAGGTGGAGGTTCCAGTGAGCTGAGATTGCGCCACTGCACTCCAACCTGGGTGACAAGAGCGAGATTCCATCTCAAAACAAAACAAAAAAAAATTACAAAGTGCAAAATTTTTTAAATCTTCGCCTTAATACTTTTTTATTTTGTTTTATTTTGAATGATCAGCCTTTGTGACCCCCTCCTTTTTTGTCCCCCAACTTAAGATGTATGAAAGCCTTCTGTCTCCCTGGGAGTGCTGGAGTCAGCCAGGGCTTGCCTGTACACTGACTTGGACCAGTTGAATAAAAGTGCACACTTAAAAAAAAAAATCATATGTCAAATTCACATGTCACTAATTCATATGTCCAACTCCTAACCTCAGTACCTGAGAATGTGACCTTCTTTGGAAACAGCATTGTTGCAGGTATAATTTGTTAAGTGAAATGAGGTGATACTGGAGTAGGGTGGCCCCTAATCCAGTATGACTGGTGTTCTTATAAAAGGGAGATTTGGGGCCAGGCGCGGTGGCTCATGCCTGTAATCCCAGCACTTTGGGAGGCCGAGGCGGGCGGATCACGAGGTCAGGAGATTGAGACCATCCTGGCTAACACGGTGAAACCCCGTCTCTACTAAAAATACAAAAAAAATTATCCAGGCATGGTGGCGGGTACCTGTAGTCCCAGCTATTCAGGAGGCTGAGGCAGGAGAATGGCGTGAACCTGGGAGGTGGAGCTTGCAGTAAGCCAAGATCAGGCCACTGCACTCCAGCCTGGGTGACAGAGTGAGACTCCATCTAAAAAAAAATTAAATAAATAAATAAATAAAATAAAAGGGAGATTTGGACACAGGCATGCACACAGGGAGAATGCCATGTGAAGATGAAATTGTGGTGATGCTTCTACAAGTCAAGGAACAGCAAAGGTTACCAGACAACTGCCAGGAGCAAGGGGAGAGGCATGGAACAGATTCTTCCTTACAGCCCTCAGAAGGAACCAACCCTGTCAACACCTTGATCTTGTACTTCTAGTCTCCAGAGTTGTCAGACAATAAATTTCTGTTGTTTAGGGCACTCAGGTAGCAGTACAGTCATGCATCCCTTAAGAGTGGGGATATTTTCTTTCTTTCTATCTCTCTCTCTTTCTTTCTTTCTTTCTCTCTCTTTCTTCTTTCTTTCTTTCCTTCCTTCCTTTTCTTTTTTTTTTTTTTTTTTTGACGGAATTTTGCTCTCATTGCCCAGGCTGGAGTGCAATGGCAAGATCTTGGCTCACTGCAACCTCTGCCGCCTGGGTTCAAGTGATTCTCCTTCCTCAGCTTCCCAAGTAGCTAGGATTACAGGCATGCACCACCACACTCTGGTAGTTTTGTATTTTTAGTAGAGATGGGGTTTCACCATGTTGGTCAGGCTGGTCTCAAACTCCTGACCTCAGGCGATCCATCCACCTCGGCCTCCCAAAGTGCTGGGATTACAGGCATGAGCCACCGTGCCCGGCCAAGAGTGGGGATATTTTCTGAGAAATGCATTGTTAGGCGATCTTGTCATTGAAGCATCATAGAGTGTACTTACACAAACCTAGCTGATAGAGCCTACTATAAACCTAGGCTATATCGCATAGCCTAGCGCTCCTAGGCTACAAACCTGGACAGCATGTTACCATACTGAATTATGTGCGCAACTGTAACACAATGGTAAGTATTTGTGTATTTAAACCTATCTAAACATACAAAAGGGACAGTCAAAACACAGTATTATAAACTTACAGGCATTGTATATGGGGATCATTGTTGAGCGAAACCTTATTATGTGGCACATGACTATCTTTTGTCACAGCAGCCTGAGAAAACTAATATAGAAGGAGAGGAAGAAACCAGATTAACATGATAAGCACGTGGGATATTTGCTTTTCAAGGGGCTCTCTCCCACTATATGATTGCATTGCAGAAAATGATGTTACTAGGAAAAAAATAGTTGCTTATGGGGAGATTATTCTATGTGGCAATACACAAATGTTTTCAAACAGCTGGTACCTTGTAAAAGGAGGCTTCTGTAAACAGGATATTCCTGTTGGCATGGGACTGCATATTTGTTTAAAAAAAAAAGTGCCCTGTTTCTGCAACAGTCAACCCATAGAAACAAGGAAATATAACTCGAGAAATTAGAGACCGCATGCATCACAGAAAATCCCCTGAACATGAAGTGTAGACAAGGCCAGCCGAAGAGTGACAAAAGATGCCTGGCAAACATAGAAGCTTGCCCTTTGAAATGTTTGATGTTTTCCTGGAAAAGTCACAGTCAGGTGCATTTAAAAAGGAAAAAGCACAGAACATCAAAGCTGGAAAGGGGCTTAATCTAATCCATCTACTGAATTTGACTGGTTGAGAAAACTGAGGCCCAGAGAGGGGAAGGGATTTGTCCAAGGTCACACAGCAGTAAGTGGCTGCTGGGAGTCCTGAACCGAGCTTTTCTTTCTTTTTCTTTCTTTTTTTTTTTTTTGAGGCAGAGTCTCGCTCTGTCGCAGAGGCTGGAATGCAGTGGCGCTATCTTGGCTCACTGCAAGCTCCACCTCCTGGGTTCATGCCATTCTCCTGCCTCAGCCTCCCGAGTAGCTGGGACTACAGGCGCCCGCCACCACGCCCGGCTAATTTTTTTTGTATTTTTAGTAGAGACGGGGTTTCACCGTGTTAGCCAGGATGGTCTTGATCTCCTGACCTCATGATCCGCCCTCCTCGGCCTCCCAAAGCGCTGGGATTACAGGCGTGAGCTACCGTGCCCGGCCTCTTTTTTTTTTTTTGAGATGGAGTCTCACTCTGTCACCAGACTGCAGTGCAGTGGCGCAATCTTGATTCACTGCAACCTCTGCCTCCCAGGTACAAGTGATTCTCCTGCCTCAGCCTCCTGAGTAGCTGGGACTACAGGCGCACGCCACCACACCCAGCTAAGTTTTGTATTTTTAGTAGAGATGGGGTTTCACATGTTGGTGATGGTCTCGATCTCTTGACCTCATGATCTGCCTACCTTGGCCTCCCAAAGTGCTGGGATTACAGGCGTGCGCCACTGCACCTGGCCGAACTCAGCTTTTCTTACTCCAAGTCAGTGATCCTTCCCGGCCTGCCATCCTTTCCTCTTTCATTATTTCACATCTCTCCCTTTGGCTGGTTCCTGAGTTGAGTCCATGAAAAAAAAACCTCTACCTAACAAGTAAGTTCTCACCACTATTCCTATTGTCCCCGGGATTTTTGCAGGGCTGGCTTTATGCTGTCTTCAACTGGCCTGCGAGTGTCTGAGAATTATTCAGCGTTATGTCAGGGAAGCCGATGGTCAGGATGACATTCTTCTTTACTGCCTGATGTATCATGGGAAAAACTGAATGCATGGGAAAGTCCTCCCTTCCTGGCTCTCTCTGTCCCCATGAATATTTCCAAAGAGACTCTTTCACCTTCAGTGACAAGAGGGAGAGGAGGGGATTGGGAGGCAACTATCTAGCAGTATCCAGCAGACATAACACAGACACTGCATACTCACACCCACCTAGACGTGCACACACGACACACACATACCCGGAACACACACCCACCCAACACACACACTGAGCACTCACAACACATATGCCTACAGCACACATAGCCTCAAAGCACCTGAAATAATGGGGCAGGCTCCTAAAGAATCTAGACTGTGGGGAAATGCGGAGTGCTGGAGAGAGAATGGGTTTCACCCGGGTTTGAATCTGGCTGCATCCTAACCTTGGTCTGGTTCCTGAACTTCTCTGAGCTTTGATGTGAACACCTGATCCCAAGGCTGTGAGGAGTATGTGAAGAGGTGAAGCACATAAAGTATTTGCTCCTGGGCTCACTACTTACTGCCCACTCAGTGGTGGTCCAGGTTGCTCTTTTACAGGAACTGCTGCTTGTCTGAGTTTCTGATTTCTCCCTACTCCTGGGACTCTGGCTAGTGGGATCTGACAGACTAGTGGTGAAAGCCTCCTAACTAGTCTTTTGGCCTCCATTTTCTCCTCCCCACCCCACCTGTCCTCCAAAGTGATCTTGCAGAACTGCTAGTCTTTTTGTATTCTTCCCTCCACAAGAACCTCCTTTAGACGTCCTTCACTTCCAGGATCCAGTCCAAACTCCTGGGCTTGGCACATGAACCCTCCATCATCTGGCACCTGGCAGCCCACATGCTGGAGCCTCACGGATTTGCTCATCGCCCTCTGAACACCTGTGGCCTTCTCACTCCTCTGTGTCTTTGCACATCCTTTCCCCAACCTCATGGTAGGTCCTTTCTCCTCCTCTTGATCCAGCTCAGTGGTTCTCATAGTGCAGCCCCTGGGCCAGAGAAGCAGCATCACCAGGGAGCTTGTTAGAAATGCCAATGTGGGCTGGGCACAGTGGCTCCCGCCTGTAATCCCAGCACTATGGGAGGCTGAGACAGGCGGATCACCTGAGATCAGGAGTTTGAGACCAGCCTGGCCAACATGGTGAAACCCCATCTCTACAAAAATTAGTCTGGGTGGTGGCGGGCACTTGTAATCCCAGCCACTCAGGAGGCTGAGGCAGGAGAATCACTTGAACCTGGGAGGTGGAGGTTGCAGTGAGCTAAGGTCACGCCACTGCCCTCCAGCCTGGGCGACGGAGTGAGACTCCGTCTCAAAAAAAAAGAAAGAAAAGAAATGCCAACGTTGGGCCCCATCTTAAACCTACTGAATCAGAAACACTGGGCATGGGGACCAGCCACTTGTGTTCGAACAGGCTCTCCAGGTGCTGCTGATGAGACTCACTGACTAGTGAAAGTACTCTCAACCATGCTTGGGGGTTGTTTTTTTTTTTTACAACATTTTCCCAACTCCTTGTTGCCTTTGCAGAGATAGTTATTCTTTCCCCAAAGCCCTTCAAAGTGTTCACAGAATTCCAAACACCCCTCATCGCACTTAGTGAGTTCTGTGCTTGTTAATGTTGTCTCTATACATTTATGTTCCCACCATTAACCCAGGGAGCTTGTCACACCTGTGTCTGCCCTGATGTCCAGCGTAGGACCTAAAACATGTGACAAAAGTGCCCATGAATATTAGTGTTCTGAAGATTTGCAGAACTTTGATTTGCCTATGCTTACAGAGCTCATCAAACTCTATAACCCTGGGTCAAGTTCAGTAAAGTGGGCAGACAAGTCCTCTGAGAGAGTTTATTTGTAAACTCTGCCTCTCTACCTTCCCCCCAATCAGTCCATATCCCCCAAACCCCAACTGCTAGGAAGTCCTTAAAATCTCATTTTTATTCAAGTGCTTTTGCACTCTATTCCCTAATAGATCTGTGCCAGTCTTTAAAATTTTAGTTTTTTTTTCTTTTTTTAAAGATGGAGTCTCACTCTGTCGCCCAGGCTGGAGTGCAGTGGCGCAATCTCGGTTCACTGCCACCTCCTCCTCCCAGGTTCAAGTGATTCTCCTGCCTCAGCCTCCCAGATAGCTGGGATTACAGGCACCCGCCACCACGCCTGGCTAATTTTTTGTATATTTAGTAGAGACAGGGTTTCACTATGTTGGCCAGGCTGGTCTCAAACTCCTGACCTCGTGATCCACCCACCTTGGCCTCCCAAAGTGCTGGGATTACAGGTGTGAGCCACTGCGCCCAGCCTAATTTTTGTATTTTTAGTAGAGACAGGGTTTCACCAGTTTTTAATTATAGTAAAATAAACGTAAAATTTACCATCATAACTATTTTTTTTAATTTTTTTGAAAGGGAGTCTCACTCTGTTGCCCAGGCTGGAGTGCAGTGGCGTGATCTTGGCTCACTGCAAGCTCTGCCTCCCGGGTTCATGCCATTCTCCTGCCTCAGCCTCCCGAGTAGCTGGGACTACAGGCACCCACCACTACGCCCGGCTAATTTTTTTGTATTTTTAGTAGAGACGGGGTTTCACCGTGTTAGCCAGGATGGTCTGGATCTCCTGACCTTGTGATCCGCCCACCTCGGCCTCCCAAAGAGCTGGGATTACAGGCGTGAGCCACCACGCCCGGCCCAACTATTTTTAAGTTTCAGTAGTTTTAAGTATATTCATTCTGTGCCAGTTTTAATGGGGGAAAAGATAAAGACTTAAATTACTTGAAAACAAGTAAAACTGCCAATCCAAGAATATTCACCACATCTATACTGAGACTTGGAACTCCCCAAGAGGTATGCATGCTCATCTTTGAGAGTAATAATAGTGACAGCTAATGTTCATTGAAGGCTCACTATGTTCCAGGCACTATGCTCAATTATTTCAAACATATTTTATTTAATATTGATGTCAGCTCTAGGAGGCAAATATGATTACTAGCTCCATATTGTAGAAGGCGAAACCAACATATAGAGAAACAGAGTAGCTTGCTAATCCACAGCTGTGGATCTCTGGATTCAGATCTCAGAGCCACCATGCCGAGGCATCTTGCCCTACCTAGAGCCCCATTCCCAGCACACTGGAGATACCGACATCTCTTGAGGGCAGGGCAGTCCCTTTTGCCTTCTGGATCCATTCTTAGGTAGGTTACCTTTGCCTCTGTGAGCTATAAATGACCCATGCAACTTTCTCTCCAGCCAGGCCATTGCATTGTGATCCAGGCTCAGTCTTCGTTCTGCTTCGTGGCATCACAGTCCCTTATTTGAAACTGAACCAGGACTGCAGTCTTCGACTTTGACATCAAATTTGACACCTCAGTGGCCCAGTACGTGTTGCTTTCCTTACTGAGCCTCAGCTTTCTCATTTGTAAAGTGGGAATAATAGGCCAGGTGTAGTGGCACACACCTGTAATCCTGGCACTTTGGGAGGTCGAGGCAGGCTAATCACTTGAGCTCAGGAGCTTGAGACTGGCCTGGGTAACATGGCAAACACCATCTCTACAAAAAAATACAAAAATTAGCTGGGCATGGTGGAGCATGCCTGTACTCCCAGCTACTTGGGAGGCTGAGGTGGGAGAATCACCTGAGCCCAGGAGGTCAAGGCTGCAATGAACTGTGATTGTGCCACTACACTCCAGCCTGGGTGACAGAGTGAGACCCTGTCTCAAAAAAAAAAAAAAAAGTGGGAATAATACAAGCCCACAATCCCTGACTTAAAACTCTCTAGGCCAGGCCAGGCGCAGTGGCTCACGCCTGTAATCCCAGCACTTTGGGAGGCCAAAGTGGGCAGATCATGAGGTCAAGAGATTGAGACCATCCTGGCCAACATGGTGAAATCCCGTCTCTACTAAAAATACAAAAATTAGCTGGGCCTGGTGGCGCATGCCTATAGTCCCAGCTACTCAGGAGGCTGAAGCAGGAGAATCACTTGAATCCAGGAGGCGGAGGTTGCAGTGAGCAGAGATCATGCCACTGCACTCCAGCCTGGCAACAAAGCCAGACTCCGTCTCAAAAAAACAAAACAAAACAAACCAACAAACAAAAAAACCTCTCCAGGCCAGATATGTCTCAATTCAGAATGTTTTGGATTTTAGAAAGGCAGCAAGTACATGTATATAAATTACACAACACCCAACTGGAGTCTAGGGCAGCCCGCAAATATCAAACACATTAGTGTTTTTCACAGCAAAAGTATTACTATTCACACTGAGTGGGATACTCATGTTATTATAAATTAGGTTTCACCACCAAATAAGTTACAAAAGTGTTTCCACTTTTTCAGAGCTTTCAGAAACTTGGAATTGCAGACATTATGGATTTGGACCTGCCCTCAGAAGGTTACTATGAGGACTAAATACATTCAAAGTACATGCAAGTACTTTTTAGTAGAGGCTATGGTCCATTGGAGGTACAGAAGGCACTTAATAAGAGGTCACACTCTTCTCTTCTTCCTTCCGTTTCCAAATCCTACACTTTTCTCAGGCCCCTTCCACACTGTCTTCTTTATTTATTTATTTTCTTTGAGACAGCGTGTCACTCTGTTGCCCAGGCTGGAGTGCAGTGGCGTGATCATGGCTCACTGCAGCCTTGACCTCCTTGGGCTCAGGTGATCCTCCCACCTCAGCCTCCCCAGTAGCTGGGACTTCAGGTGTGCACCACCACACCCAGCTAATTTTTGTATTTTTAGTAGAGACGGAGTTTTGTCACGCTGGGCAGACTGGTCTCAAACTCCTGGCTTCAGGTGATCTGCCCACCTCGGCCTCCCAAAGTGCTGGGATTACAGGCATGAGCAACTGTGCCCCACCCAGACTGTTTTCTTTTTCTTTGACTTTTCCTGTTTATGACCCACCTCGTCAACGTGCTCTTCTCAAACCAAGACTTGCTTTCTTTTTTCCTTTGTTTTTTCTTTTGAGATGGAGTCTCACTTTGTCGCCCAGGCTGGAGTGCAGTGGCACGATCTTGGCTCCCAAGTTCAAGCTATTCTCTTGCTTCAGCCTCTGGAGCAGCTGGGATTACGGGCGTGCACCATCTCGCCTGGCTAGTTTTTGTATTTTTAATAGAGACGGGGTTCCACCGTGTTGACCAGGCTGGTCTCGAACTCCTAACCTCAAATGATCCCCCTGCCTCGGCCTCCCAAAGCGCTGAGATTACAGGCACGAGCAACCGCGACTGGCCAAGGCTTGCTTTCTTCATATCCTCCTAATCGTACTCTGTCCAGGGCATACGTAGTCATTTGGTTTCGTCTTGCAGCTTTGGAAATGCAGCTTGTACATTCCTTGGTGAGCTGGCTGTGCCATATCATTAGGGCTGTTTGAGGTAAGCTACTCCTCAAGCTGGATGCTTTCTTGCAAAAGCGTTGTCAAACACAATCCAGGGATAGTTTTCCTAGAAAGATGAGTATGACCCCCTTCCAGGGATAGTTTTTCTAGAAAGATGAGTATGACCCCCTCCCTACCAGAAAGCCCACCCCAAACAGCCTTCTCTTGCTAACAAGTGGCTGAGGGAGGGTGAACTAACAGGTGAGGAACCATCTGGGCCAATCTCTTACTCCTCTAGCAATCGGCCAACTCTAGGTCCCTCCAGGGTCCTCCAGTAGTGAAGCGTTGTCACACTGTTTTGGGGATGCCATTGGAAAGCACAGAAATATGGAGAGGGCAGAGGCGAGGCGTCCATTGTTGTTGCCTTTATGACGGTATTGCGCTATGGAATGAGAAAGTCCCTTCCCTGAGCTAAGCCATTATTATGTGGGTCCTATTCTGGCCACAGACACCACGTGAGTAGTCAGGCCTCAGCTGTTATTTCAGCCTCAGGGATGAAAACATCCGAACAGTGGAATCTTTTTTTGTTCCTGGCTCCAGTCTCGGAACCCACAGACTTTGGATTCACCGTAGTCTCCACCTATCCCCATATCAAGCGGATGGGCTTCCCGAGTCTCAGCTACCCGCTCTTTCCTTTGTCTCTGGCCTGCTCTGCGGGCACTTTCCCACAAGGCCTGGGACCCTGGAGAACCTAAGTCATCGCTCGAGGGAGAGTTTACTGGGTTCAGGGTGAGGCTGGTGGAAGGAACATCGTGGTGGTACGCCTGGGGTCTCCACGGGGAAGAGGACAAGGGGGACTTCCAGGAGCTTCAGCGGCAGCCAACGCTGCGAGCCTCATCTGCGTGCGCCCCTCGTGGCGCTCGCGGGAACTGCGGGCCGACGTCCCCTGTTTCTCTCGTTGATTTCGCCAGCTCTGATGAGGCCGGAGCGGGCCTCTTCAGAGGAATGTAGACTGTTTGCACCCGAAAACCAAAACCGTGTCCAAGGGGCGGGGCCGGCCTGCTGGCATCTAGAATGGGGCCTGGCAGAGTGGGCCCGGGAGGTGGCTCCAGGCCCAGGGCCAGCCACGCTGCTTTCCCACGTGCACAGGCGTTGGCTTCCTCTGAACCAGACTCTGGGGGGAGGGAAGAAGCCTCCGCCGGGAAGGAGAGCTGGGGGCTTTCCCTTCTGTGTGCAGCGACCTGCGCCAGGAGGCAGCGTCGCCAAAGAGTACAAGGAGAGCTTTCGCCTCTGAGATTCCAAGAACTAGCTGGGATGTTCTGAATCATTAGAATCCATTAGTTCTGACCCCTGACTTAAAACCCTCCCAAGGCTCCTAGGACCACCCACACTGGCCTGCCCAATGCTAGCCACTAGGTACCTGCATGTGGCCACTGAGCGCTTGAAATGTGCTCCTACCCACACCAGACTTTGAAGATTTAGTAGGAAACAAAAAAAGGTAAATGTCATTAATTTTTTTTTTTGTCTCTTGGCTTAATAAAACATAATAAAATCAGGCCGGGTGTGGTTACTCACGCTTGTAATCCCAGCACTTTGGGAGGCTGAGGCGGGTGGATCACCTGAGGTCAGGAGTTCGAGACCAGTCTGGCCAAAATGGTGAAACCCCGTCTCTATTAAAAAGGCAAAAATGTGCTGGGCGTGGTGGCGCACGCCTGTAATCCCAGCTACTCAGGAGGCTGAGGCAGGAGAATCACTTGAACCTGGGAGGCGGAGGTTGCAGTGAGCCCAGATCATGCCACTGTACTCCAGCCTGGGCAACAAAGCAAGACTCCGTCTCAAAAAATAATAATAATAATAATAATAATAATAAAATAAAAAATTAAACATATTAAAATTAATTTTACCAGTTTCTTTTTGTTTTTAAAATGTGCTGCTAGAAAATTTAAAATGATGCCCATGACTCACACTGTATTTGTTAGACAGAGCTATTCCAGACGTTCTCCAATGGGCCAGGCTTCATTCCTGCCTCAGGGCCTTTGCAGTTGTTTTTCTCTCTGCGCGCAATGCTTTTCTTTCAGCATGACTTTCTTTTTTCTTTCTTTCCTTTTTTGTGAGACATGGTCTCACTCTGTTGCCCAAGCTGGAAGTGCAGTGGTGCAATCATGGCTCACTGCAGCCTCGAATCCCCATGCTCAGGTGATCCTCCCACCTCAGCCTCCTGAGTAGCTGCGACTATGGGTACCTGCCACCACGCCCAGCTATTTTTTTGTATTTTTTTGTAGGGACAGGATATTGCCATGTTGCCCAGGCTGGTCTCAAACTCTTGAGCTCAAGTGAGCCACCTGCTTCGTTCTCCCAAAGTGTTAGGGTTGTAGGCATGAGCCACTGCACCCAACCAGCTTCCTTCTTTCGTATCATGCAGATCTCAACTCAAATTTCTCATACCTGGCTACTAACTAAACAGTCCCACTCCATCCCTGTTTTGTCATATTATCCAGTTTTATTGCCCTAATAGCACTTAACAGTCTCTTTATATTTCTTGTCTCTCCCCGTCCCCACCCAGCCCCACTTTCTTCGTCCTTAGAATGTAAAATCCTTGAGAGCCCAGGCCTTGAACATCCTGTTCACTGTGGGCTCCCCAGTGCTCATAGTAAATATTTGTTGAATGAATGTTGAAAGTCTCCTCCAAGGGGTTGACTCCTTCAAGTGCCTTTGTGACAAAGCCAAAATTCTAATCTGTATGCTTTACGTACCCGTTCTCATGGATCCTCTGTGGTGCCTTTTCGGCTTACCAGTCCTGGCAATGGAAAAGTAAACGTGGCGTACGCCTGACTGCAACAGTCTTTTGTTGGTTTGCTACTGAGCTTCAAGATTAAGGGTTTGGGCTTCGGATACAAGAGGACTCGTCTTGGTCCTGCCAGTCAGTTCTGTGAACCTGTATAGGCGACTGTCCCTCTCAAATCCTCGCATTTGGGCAGGAGATGCTCCCTAAGCATTGATCACCTGCCCAAATGTGAGGATTTGAGTTTAGGATTTAGGTCTCTGCTAAGAGCAATTCATCCTATTTTGCACTCCAAAGCCACTTAGCTGGCATGGCAATGTCTCCATTAATCAACTAGCTAGAGTGCTTGGGGCCAGAAGTGTCCTGGTTAATCTAACTTCCTGGCTACGGATCAATTAACTACGACATCCTTGTTAAAAATATGAAGAGTATATGAATTCATTTTCCAGCTCTAGAAGGCCACTTCACTGAACAAAATTCTCATTCTTAGAAAGTATTATAAGGTGGCATTGTTATTTCCCTCCCAAAATTAAAACTGAGCACACAGGGGCTGAGTCAGAGGGACCCTTTGGGGTTTTCCAGCTGTTAAGCACAGCTGTGTAACTTTAGGCAAGGCATGGCTTTAACCCTCCAGTGTATCCATTGTCTTATGTAGGACATGGGGGAGATATTACTCCACTTCCAGAGAAGTTGCTAGGATGAAAGGACATAACAAATACAAGGTGCTTAGCATAGTGCCCTGCGTGTAACAAGTGCTCAATATTTATTATTATTGTTTGCAATGTCTCTGACCACTGCGATATGACCACCCACCTAATTAAAGGAGGGCAAGTGCTGGGACAGAGCTGTCCTCTGGTTCTGGCCTGCCTCTAACACCCTCTGGGGTCCTGGGCAAGCTCCATCACTTTCTGGCCTCAGTTTTCTCTTGGGCAATATGGGGTAATCTGGTTGATCTCTGATTTTCATGCAGGTGCTGAAAGCCACTGGGCTCTGGGTGCCCTGAGATCTTTTCCTCTGTTGAGCTCGACCCTGAAGGGCCAGGTCCCTCCTCTCCTGGTGAGGCTGGCCCCTTCCAGGGACCTCCCTAGGTGCTGGCTTCCAGCCCAGCCAAACTTGTCAACCAGTATCCCGGTGCAGGAGCTGCACATACTAGCCCCTGTCTAGGAAAAGCTGTCCTGCGACGCCCTCTGGAGGAAGCAGGGCTTCCTTTCCTCTGCCATCACGTGCTCAGTCTGGGCCCCAAGGATTGACCCAGGCCAGGGCTGGAGAAGCAGAAAAAAAGCATCAAGCCTACAAATGCATGCTTACTTGCAGCAGAAATAGACTAATTGCATGGGCGTTTCCCTGGGATCCCTGTCTCCAGGCTTCTCTCATCCATGCCTTTCTAGGCAGCCCACATCAGCCCTTGCTTAAAACTCTCCAAGGTTTCTCATGCCAAGCTCCCTGCAGGACATCCCAGGCCCTCTGGGACAGCAGCTCACGGGCCTCTCCAGCCTCATTTGCCACTGTGACCCATTCTCCAGCACTGATTCATCAATTAGCCCATCACAGGCGTAGCTACAAGATTAGTTTTGAGACTCTCATTCTATATATTTATGTACATCCTCCAAAACTGATAAAACAAGAAAGCCGTCAAGTTGTAATTGATAAATATGTAATTAAATGTCTACAAAATGTAACATGTCAATTGTCTTTGCAACTGGCCTCAACCTTAGGTAGCCATATATAACTCATATTTCCTGTGTGATGTGGGTGAATTTTAATAAGCATGGTATAGTGTGGGGGTGGGGCCTTGGAAAATAACAGTGCCTGGGGCCTCTAAGGTCTAAAGTCGTCCCTGCCCTTCACAACCTCTGCTTTAGCCATCCTGAAACACTGGCTGTTCCTCCCACAGACTCTGCTTTCCCTAGATTCCGGGCCTTTGCACCTGCAGTTCGCCTGTTCTGAATGTCCTCTCTTTCCTCCTCACCCTTCACTCCCTCCCCCTTGCCTGGCTGAGTCCTGTGACAGACATTTCAGGAGCCACTTTGGAAGCTTTTTCTTTTCTTCTTCTTCTTCTTCTTTTATTTTTTTATTTTTTGAGACGGAGTTTCACTCTTGTTGTCCAGGCTAGAGTCTGGTGGCACAGTCTCAGCTCACTGCAACCTCCACCTCCTGGGTTCAAGCGATTCTCCTGCCTCAGCCTCCCGAGGAGCTGGGATTTCAGGCATGCACCACCACGCCCGACTAATTTTGTATTTTTAGTAGAGATGGGGTTTCTCCATGTTGGTCAGGCTGGTCTCAAACTCCTGACCTCAGGTGATCCGCCTGCCTCGGTCTCCCAAAGTGCTGGGATTACAGGCATAAGCCACCACACCTGGCCTTTGGAAGCTTTTTCTAATGTCCAGTGGGACTCCTGCTGTAAGCTCCCTTTCACGCAAGTCTGCAATGAGAATGCAGCAGGAAAGCCTAGTACCAGCATATTTTATCTCCTTGCTTGTTTTTGCACTGGCCCTGACCACCCTGAGGATCAAGGCTGGGTCTGATTCAGCCCTGTATCCTCAGCACTAGGCTCAGTGCCTGGGCCATAGTATCCTCACATTTAATGGGTGGTGGATGGCCAAGGAAATGAGTGATGGATGGATGGGTGGATGGCTGGAAAGCCTCAGCATTAGGGTGTTGGAAAAGAAATTCACCAGAGCACTTTAGTGGTGTGGCTGGTCAGGGCACTGATGTGGCAAGGTTGGAAAAGATGACCTACTGCTCTTTCATTGAGCCCCCTCCTGCTTGCATGCTGCATGTCTACACTGGAACAAAGGCACCAAAGAATCAGCCTCTGGGTAGAATGACATCCCAAGGTTGCAACTGGCAAACCCTAGAATGTGGCTAACTCTAGATATAGGACAATAATCGCAAGTGAAAACACAACAACAAATAAATGGCAAGAGGAAGAAAATAAGCGAGAGAAGAAGCCTTTAGACTAAAAAAGACTAAAGAGACATATTAACCAAACCCCATACGTGGATTTTGCTTGCATCTTGATTGCAACAAACCAACCATTTTTAAAAATTATAATAAAATCAGAGAAATCTAAACAGTGGATGGGATTATACTAATAAATTATTTAATTTTGTAGATGCACGTATGGCATTGTATGTTTTTAATTTTTATCTTTCAGAGCTACCTACTGAAATATTTACAAGTGAAATGATGTGAGATGTGGGATTTGATTCAAAATGATCCTTTATGTATGAAGAGTGGGGCGTGGAGAATGCATGAAGATACAGATAAAATAAACGTGTCTATGGGTTAATACATGCTGTAGCTGGGTACATGGTGGTTTATTATGCTATTCTTTCTAGTTTTGTGTGCATCTGAAATTTTCCATAATAAATACTTTTTAGAAAACTCATGAACCGTTCTGATTCCTGGAGATGCCTTGGTGCGCATGACCATATAATCCTTCTTTGAAGGTGAGGGCTGGAGAAGAAGTCCTGTTGAGGGAGATGGGGAGAGGAGCGGAGGGAGGAGGAGCACTGAAGCACCGAGTTAGCTGCGTCACTGCTTAGCTCCAGATGGGCCACCATTTCTGATCTCCTACAACATGCCAGCCACAGCCCTGAGCACTCTCCACTCCATCATCTCAATTCATCCTGTGGGGAAGGTATTATCATCTTCACAGAGGAGAAAGCTGAGGGTCAGGGAGGTCCCATTGCTTGTCCCAAATCACAGAGCTCAAAAGCGTCCAAGTTCTGCTGGTGGGGGAAGGGCAGTGAAGCAGTGGGACAACAACAACCACCAAAAAGTGCAACAGGAAAATGAAGGAGAATGCCAGGAAAATAAAGACACGGGTTCCATGAACAGTGAAACCAACCCGGCAAGCAGTAGAGGCTGTCCCAGCAGACAATTGAGCAAGAGACCTGAAGAAGTGAGAGTGGATTGAAGCAGGAGAATGAAACATCCCGAAAGACAGGTCACTGGAACTCTTGAAGCAACACCAGATTGTATACAGCAGTTAGCAAACTTTGATGTTGTAGGGTTTTTTGTTTGTTTGTTTGTTTTGTTTTGTTTTTGTTTTTGTTTGAGACGCAGTCTCTCTCTGTTGTCCAGGCTGGAGTGCAGTGGTTCGATCTCAGCTCACTGCAACCTCTGCCTCCCGGATTCAAGCAATCCTACTGCCTCAGCCTCTCAAGAAGCTGGGATTACAGGCACCCACCACCACACCAGGCTAATTTTTATATTTCTGTAGAGATGGGTTTTAGCCATGTTGGCCAGGCTGATCTCGGACTCCTGACCTCAAGTGATCTCCCTGCCTCAGCCTCCCAAATGGCTGGGATTACAGGGGTGAGCCACCGTGCTCAGCCTGGGGAAACTGTTTGAACACATGAATCAATGAATCAGTAAAGGCTAATTTTAGTAGTATATTAAACATTCTTAAAACTCAATGAAATATAGACCAATAATTCAATAGAAAATTGGGCAAAGAACATGGACAAACAAAAGAAAAGGACAATGTCTTAAAAATATATGAAAAGATGCTTATTCTTACACATAAGAGAAATGCTAATTAAACTACAGTGAGACACTATGAGATGTGGGAGAGCTAAAATGCTGAATAATATCCCTGTTGGCAATGGTGTGGGGCCAAAGGCACCCCTATAAACTGTTGTAGGGAGTGTAAATTAGGACAACCTCCATGGAAGATCATCTGCTGTAATTGAAAATGCATACAAGACTGGACATGGTGGCTCATGCCTGTAATCCCAACATTTTGGGAGGCCAAGGTGGGAGGATCACTTGGGTTCAGGAGTTTCAGACCAGCCTGGTCAACATAAGAAGACTTTATTTAAAAACACAAAACTAAACTAAAAAACACTTATTATACCTTGACTATGGAGGAGGTCTAGAGAAAAAAAAATGCATACACACTTTCATGTAAAAGTTCCACTCATAGGAATTTACCCCACGTGACTCAAACATGTATTATCTATCATCTATGTATCTAATTACTATATAATGTAATGCTGCTTATTAATTTTTAAAAGTTTTTTTTTTTTTTTTTTTGAGACAAGGTCTCACTCTGTCACCCAGGCTGGAGTGCAGTGGCTCAATCACAGTTCACTGCAGCCTTGAACGCCTGGGTACAAGTGATCCTCCGAAAGTGCTGGAATTACAGGCATGAGCCATTGTGCCCAGCCTGTGAATAATGTTGCTATAAACATTTTTTAAGCCTAAAAGTATCTCTAAGCTTTAGTTATTGATTGAGATTAATTCACATGTGATAAAATTCACCCCTTTAAAGTATAAAATCCAGTGGGTTTTAGCGGATCTACAGAGGGGGTAACCATCACTGTTAGCTAATTTCAGGACATTTTCATAACCCCAAAAAGAAACCCTGTGCCCATTAGCGGTCACACCCCATAGCCCCTTTCCCCAGCTGCTGGCAACTACTAATCTACTTTCTGTCTTTATGGATTTACCTATTCTGGGCATTTCACATAAATGAAATAATATAACATGTAGCCTTTGTGTCTGGATTGTTTCACTTAACATAATGCTTTCAAGTTTCCTATGTTGTAGCATGCATCAGTACCTCATTCCCTTTTAATGCTGAATAATATTCCATTGTATGGACATGCCACATTTTCTTTCTCTATTCATCAGTTGGTAGACATTTGGGTTATTTTCACTTTTTGGCTATTATGAATAATGTTGATATAAACATTTTATTAACATGTGCTTTCAGTTTTCTTGAATATATATCTAGGAATAGAATTTGTGGGTCATATGGTAACTCTAGATCTAACCTTTTATTTATTTTATTTTATTTTATTTTGAGACAGAGTTTCGCTCTCGTTGGCCAGGCTGGAATGCAATGGTGCAATCTCGGCTCTCTGCAACCTCCACCTCCCGGGTTCAAATGATTCTCCTGTCTCGGCCTCCCGAGTAGCTGAGATTACAGGTGCATGCCACCAGGACCAGCTAATTTTTGTATTTTTAGTAGAGACGGGGTTTCATCATATTGGTCAGGCTGGTCTTGAACTCCTGATCTCAGGTGATCCTCCCACCTTGGCCTCCCAAAGTGCTGGGATTGTAGGTGTGAGCCACTGTGCCCAGCCTCTTTTTTTTTTTGTTTTTTTGTTTTTTTGAGACAGAGTTTCCCTCTTGTTGCCCAGGCAAGAGTGCAATGGCACAATCTCCACTCACTGCAACTTTCACCTCCTGGGTTCAAGCAATTCTCCTGGCTCAGCCTCCCGAGTAGCTAGGAATACAGGTGCCAGCCACCACACCCAGCTAATTTTTGTATTTTTAGTAGAGATGGGGTTTCACCATGTTGGCCAGCCTGGTCTCGAACTCCTGACCTCAGATGATCCGCCTGCCTTAGCCTCTCAAAGTGCTGAGATTGCAGGTGTGAGCTACCATGCCCGGCCTCTAGATGTAACCTTTTGAGAAACTGCAAAATTGTTTTATTCCCACCAGCCATCTATGAGGGTTTCAATTTTTCCACATCCTCTCCAACACTTATTATTGTCCAAGTTTTTTATTATAGCCATCCTAGTGGGTGTGATGTGGTATTTTATTGTGATTTTGATTTGCATTTCCTTAATGACTAATGACATTGAGCTTCTTTTTAATGTTATCAGTGCCCATTTGTATATTTGTTTGGGAAAATGTCTATTCAAATCCTTTGCCCATTTAATAATTAGGTTGTCTTTTTGACTGTTGAGTTTTAAGAGTTCTTTATATATTCTAGTACTAGAATCTTATCATGTAAGATCGTATATGATATACAAATATTTTCTTCCATTCTGTGTGCTGTCTTTTTACTTTCTTGATAACGTCTTTTGAACCACAAAAGTTTTTAACTTGACGAGGTCCAACTTACCTACTTTTTTATTGGTTACTTATGTTCTTGGTGTCATATTTTTAAAATTATTACTTAATCCAAGTTCATAAAGATTTATGCCTATGTTTTCTTCTAAGCATTTAAGTTTTTGCTCTTACGTTTAGATCTTTGGTCAATTTTGAGTTACTTTTATACATATGTTGTGAAGTAGAGGTCCAAATTTATTCTTTTTGTTTGTTTGTTTTGTTTGTTTGTTTGTTTGTTTTGAGACAGAGTTTCACTCTTGTTGCCCAGGCTGGAGTACAGTGGCATGATCTCGGCTCACTGCAACCTCCGCCTCCCGGGTTCAAGCAATTCTCCTGCCTCAGCCTCCTGAGTAGCTGAGATTACAGGCACCTGCCACAAAGCCCGGCTAATTTTTGTATTTTTAGAAGAGATGGGGTTTCACAATGTTGGCCAGGCTGGTCTCGAACTCCTGACCTCAGGTGATCCTCCCACTTCAGCCTCCCAAAGTGTTGGGGTTACAGGCGTGAGCCACCGTTCCCAGCCCCAAATTCATTCTTTTGCTGTTTACTTACTTTAACTTTTAGAATCAACCTGTATACAAAATATGGAAGACTTAATTATAATTACTTCACTCAGAGATAAAGTGCTCAATCTAAAAATACAGAAGTAAAAGTGCCTCAGTAGCAGTGAGTGCACCTACTGGGCAGATCCTGACTGCTAATACCATTCTTCAGTATGAGCAGTCAGGGCTGCTTGGAGAAATGTTTGATTCTAGGACTGGGGCCGGAATATATAAGATGAGCCTGGAGCATCTTGTAGTGCCAGAAAGTAAGGAAGTGCTCAAATTTGTGCAACAACTTTGTTGGGGATATGTCAAATGGATACAGGAAGAGTCCATTGAAAGAGGTAACAGTAACCATAGCTGGAACAATGTGAGCAACAAAATGCATAGCATTTTATTATAACCCAAAGTGTAAAATAAATGTCTCTGAGTCCATACTGATATAAATAAATTATTGAATAAATAAATGAATGGGGGAGAAGAGATAAATATCCTATGCTAAAGAATTCTGGCCAGGCGTAGTGGCTCATGCCTGTAATCCCAGCACTTTGGGAGGCCAAGGCAGGTGGATCACCTGAGGTCGGGAGTTCGAGACCAGCCTGACCAACATGGAGAAATCCCATCTCTACTAAAAATACAAAATTAGCTGGGCATGGTGACACATAACTGTAATCCCAGCTACTCGGGAGGCTGAGGCAGGAGAATCACTTGAACCCAGGAGGCGGAGGTTGCGGTGAGCCAAGATCACGCCATTGCACACTAGCCTGGCAAAGAACGAGACTCTGTCTCAAAAAAAAAAAAAAAAAAAAAAAAGAGAGAGAGAATTCCAAATAAATTATGCGGATATTCCACCCTAAAAAACAGAGCGCATAATTACCCCACTCCTTAAGCATGGGTTATGCATAGTAACTTCCTTTTAAGGAATACAATACTGAAAGAAAGGAAAATACATGTGTATACACACATTTACAAAACAATTTTAATGTCAGAGCAGGGAATTCAAATTAAATCTTTTTATAGTGCCAAAAATATAGACTTTGGAAGCTAGATAGATCAGGGCTCTAATTTTCACTCTTTGTTAACCAGAATTCTAGGCAGATTATTTAATATCTACATACATCATTTAATGCCCACTGTAAGCTCTCCTGTACTATAAGCTCCTTTTGTGTGTTTGTTTCACTGATGCATCATCAGTACCTAGAACAGTGTCTGAGAGAAAGTGCCTTATGAATATGTGTTAAAAGAACCATTCTCCAAACCTGAGTCTGAGTTTCCTCATCTGTCAAGTGGGTATAAAAATAATACCTTCCTTGCATGGTTGTTAGCAAGACTCAATGAAATCCTATGTGCCAAAGCACCTCCTGAACTCCACAGTTTTATGTATCTTTAAACTTTAAGAGGAGCTGAAGAGGATAAGGATTCAGCTAGGTAGGTGCTTTTTTTTTTTTTTTTTTTTTTGACAGAGTCTCCCTGTTGTCACCCAGGCTGGAGTACAATGGTGCGATCCCGGCTCACTGCAATCTCCACCTCCCAGGTTCCAGCAATTCTCCTGCCTCAGCCTCCTGATTAGCTGGGATTATAGGCGCCCACCACCACGCCCGGCTAATTTTTGTATTTTTAGTAGAGACAGGGTTTCACCATGTTGGCCAGGCTGGTCTCAAACTCCTGACCTCAGGTGATTCACCTGCCTCGGCCTCCCAAAGTGCTGGGATTACAGGCATAAGCCACCGCGCCCGGCCTCTAAGCCTCACTTTCTTACCCAATCTATAGAGATAGTCCATAGTCATGCCTGCCTCCCAGAGTTGGGATAAGAATCTCTTAATGAGAGCTTTTGTAAATATACACCACCCCCCTCCAGTGCTTCAATACTCACACCCTACCCTCTTGGCCATGCAGCAATCTCATGCAGTGATCCACCTGCCTCGACTTCCCAAAGTGTTGGGATTACAGGCGTGAGCCACCATGCCTGGCTGGTAGGTGGATTCTTATACCTTCTGAAGTTACGTTCATTTGGCAACCCCTTAGGATATGGTTTTTCTCTCTAAATATTTTTGGACAGAACCAATTTACTTACCTATTATATTGGTTTTCCATTGCAGCATAACAAATTACCACAAATGAAGCAGCTTAAAACAACGTCCTTACTATTTTCTGCATTGGAAGTCCAAGATCAGGAATCCAGGTGTGATTTAACTGAGTTCCCTTCTCAGGATCCCAGAGGGCTAAAATCAAGGTGCTGTCTGAGTTGCATTATTTTCAGGCTAGACTAGGGGAGGAACTGCTTCTAAATTTCCTCAGGTTTTTGAAAGAATTCACTTCTTTGTAGCTGTAGAATTTATGGCAGCTTGCTTCTTTAAAGTCAGCAGCAGAGGAAAGGGGGTGTGTGGAGAGAGACAGAGAGAGAGAGAGAGAGAGAAAGGACCCTTACTGTCTGCTGCTTGGAATCTCTGACTTTCGGGAATGCCTGAGCCCTTTATAAAGGACTCCTCTGATTGGGTCAGGCCCACCCAGGATAATCTGCCTTTTGATTAATTCAAAGTCAACTGATTAGGGCCTTAATAACATCTGCAAACTCCTGTCGCTTTTGCTATACAATATAATGTAATTACAGTAGTGATATCCCATAACCTCTGCCATATTCTATGTTGGAAGTAGGTCACAGGTCACACCCATACCCAAGGGCATGAAACCAGAGGGAAGAGATCATGGGGGCCATTTTTGAATTGTAGCCACACCTATTGTATCAATAATTATTCTAGCTTCAGTCTGAATTGCTATACTTGCTAATTTACCATGTAATGTGTCAGTGAGAGCCAATAATGTGCTTGAGACCCTCAATTTTTAGATTCCGTAGGACAAGTACTAAATGCCTTGGACCTGGGTACAGGAAATATAGTTCTGGTTCCGGCGGCACTGCTAATTCATTGCAGCAATTTAGATACATTCCTTCTTCTCTCTAAGCCTCACTTTCTTTTTTTTTTTTTTAGATGGGGTCTCACTCTGTTGCCCAGGCTAGAGTGCAGTGGCGTGATCTCGGCTCACTGCAAACTTCGCCTCCTGGGTTCAAGTGATTCTTCTGCCTCAGCCTCCTGAGTCCCTAGTAGCTGGGACTACAGGCACGCACCACCATGCCGGGCTAATTTTTGTAATTTTTTAGTAGAGATGGGGTTTCATCATGGTGACCGGGTTGGTCTTGAACTCCTGACCTCAGGTGATCCACCTGCCTTGGCCTCCCAAAGTGCTGGGATTACAGGCGTGAGCCACCGCTCCCGGTCTCTAAGCCTCACTTTCTTATCCAATCTATAGAGATAGTCCATAGTCATGCCTGCCTCCCGGAGTTGGGATAAGAATCTCTTAATGAGAGCTTTTGTAAACATACACCACACCCCTCCAGTGCTTCAATACTCACACCCTACCCTCTTGGCCATGCAGCAATCTTATCTCACATTCCCCATCTTCCGCAGACATACGACAGGGTTCTACAATAATACCCCGTCCCTCAAAGCCCTCCAGGACCTCAGCTTTCTCATCCTTTCCACCCAACTGGCCTTCCATCCCTGTGCAGTGAGCATGCCAGCCATAGGAAATTCCACCTTTGCATTAACACAGGCACATGGATTTCATATGTGGCTGCCTCCTAAGGAAGGCACACCCATTAGGATGGCTGTTATTAAAAACAACAACAGCACAAAAACAACAAAATAACACAAGTTGGCAAGGATGTGGTGAAATTTGAACTCTAGTGCATTGCTGGTAGAAATGTGAAAGGGTGAGTCTGCTGGGAAAAATAGTCTGGCAGTTCCTTGAAAAATTTTTCCCTCCTAAGGAAGGGAAAAAAGTAAAGAAGAAAAGCATAACCTTCTAAGGGAAGCTGAGCACAACACACACTGTGTGGCGTTGAAGATAAATTTCTACCCTCCTGACGACCACCAAAGCAAGAATAAAGAGCCAAGCTCAACCCATCGGAAGGTGTCATTAGTTTTGACTCCCTCTGGATTACGATGGCCTTTCCTGTGGAATGGCATATAACCAGCTCTAATACCTTATCTAAGGCTTCGTTCCCACAATCCCGTCCATTCACAGTAGGCTGACGCCTGAGCAGCAGCAGAGACCTTTGAGGTGACTCTGGCTTTCTGAGTTTCATCCTTTTATAAAAAACTGTGGTTCCATATAGATAACATCAAATTTACCATTTTAACCATTTTAAGTGTACAATTCAGTGGCATGAAGTACATTCACACTGTTCTGCAACCATCACCATTATCCATTTCCAGAACTTTTCCATCTTCCCCAACTGATACTCTGTACCCATTAAGCAGTAACTCTGAATAATTCCCCACTCCTCCACCTGGCCTGGAGACCCCATTCTAATTGCTGTCTTCCTGAATTTGGCTATTGTTGGTACCTCATGTAAGTGGAATCACACACAGTATTTGCCCTTTTGTGACTGGCTTATTTCACTTAGCAAAATGTCTTCAAGGTTCATTCCTGTCGTAGCATGAATAAAAATTGTCTTCCTCTTAAGGCTGAGTAATATTCTATTATATGTACATACCACATTTTCTTGATCTGTTCACCAGTCGAGGTACATTTGTGTTGCTTCCACCTTTCAGCCCTTGTTTGGAATATTGGTGTACAAATATCTGTTTGAGTCTCTGCTTTCAAATCTTCTGGCCAGGTACAGTGGTTCACACTTGTAAACCCAGCATTTCAGGAGGCTGAGGCAGATGGATCACTTGAGGTCAGTTTGAGACCAGCCTGGCCAACATAGCGAAACTCTGTCTCTACTAAAAATACAAAAATTAGCCAGTTGTGGTGGCATATGCCTGTAATCCCAGCTACTACTCGGGAAGCTGAGGAAGGAGAATTGCTTGAACCCAGGAGACAGAAGCTGCAGTGAGCTCGCACCACTGCACTCCAGCCTAGGCAACAGAGTGAGACTTCGTATCAAAAACAAAACAAAACAAAACAAAACAAAAACAAAATCTTTTGGAGATATACCTGGAAGTAGAATTACTGGATCATAGGGTAATTCTGAAGTTAATTTTTCTTTTTTTTTCTTTTTTTGAGATGGAGTCTGGCTCTGTCGCCCAGGCTGGAGTGCAGTGGCACAATCTCAGCTTATTGCAACCTCCGCCTCCCGGGTTCAAGTGATTCTCCTGCCTCAGCCTCCCGAGTAGCTGGGACTACAGACACGCACCACAATGCCCAGCTAATTTTTGTATTTTTAGTAAAGACGGGGTTTCACCATGTTGGCCAGAATGGTCTCGACCTCTTGACCTCATGATCTGCCAGCCTCGGACTCCCAAAGTGCTGGGATTACAGGCGTGAGCCACCGTGTCCGGCCTGAAGTTAATTTTTCAAGGAACTGCCAGACTATTTTTCCCAGCAGACTCACCCTTTCACATTTCTACCAGTAATGCACTAGAGTTCAAATTTCACCACATCCTTGCCAACATGTGTTATTTTTTGTTTTTGTGCTGTTGTTGTTTTTAATAACAGCCATACTAATGGGTGTGAAGAGGAATCTCACTGTGGTTTTCTTTACATTTGTATCACTCCTCTTGGCCCAATCAAAATTCAGGGCCAGGTACGTGGTTCACACTTGTAACCCCAGCACTTCCGGAGGCCAAGGTGGGATAATCGCTTGAGTCCAGGAATTTGAAACCAGCCTGGGCAACATAGCAAGATCCTATCTCTAAAAAAAAAAAAAGAAGAAGAAGAAGAAAAAAAATGAAATTAAAAAACTTCAGATCCTTCTGCTGTGGCTGAGTTCCTTCTCTGGGGGAAGCTTACCTCCTGGGCTTGTCCGGTCCTGTTAGTACCTTTACACATCAGGTTATGTCTCATCAGAAGGTCTGTGATTTTGTGAGTAGTCCTCTCCTCCTCTGCTCCGAGACCAAATCCCAGTCTTGTCTCAGATGTCTTAGATAGGAGGCTCCTGTGAGACGTGGAAATACCCCAGCCAGCCTCTCCCTGGACTGCCTCACACAGAGCCAGGCGTCTGTCTGGAGGTGAGGGGGTGCTGGTAGACGCCAGTTTCAGCGCTCAGCCTCTGAAGGAATGCGAGGGCCTGCAGGCATCACGACCCCACAGCACAATGCCCTCTGCGTGCTATTTTCAACTGGGCTGTCATTATGTCATTTGGAGCCGAGGTGGAACACTTGGATGAATTTCCCTCATCCTCTGAGCCCACAAGAATTTATATTGGTCAGAAGTGATGCATTATGGAACCCTGTTTGGGGACACAAAGGCTTCCAGGGTATATTTTTGGTAAATTTGATATATCCTTGATACATAGTTGCTTAGAAACAGCAATTTGTATAAGGTATACAGTGACTGTATTTTCCATACCTAAAGTCAGAAGCCTACGTCTGGCAAGAATGAGTGTAGTTATGAGGACACAGAATATTTGAAATTGGAACTATCCCCAAAAAAGCCTGGAGTTACAGACTCTGTAGAAATGCATGACATGTTAACTAAGCTCACAAACAGAATGTGATTCTGGGTGATTTATTTCTTCACATTCCGTCTTGGTGTTAGAAATGAGCTTCTGCGCACAGCAGGAATTGTCTTTTTAATTTGATTTCTACAACCCAAACAAGACATAAATACATTCTCACTAAAAAAATCAAAACAATACTAATACAGCCAAAGTCTTTCTTGACTATTATCCCTAATTCCAGTCCCATTTTATTTTATTTATTTTTCTGAGACAGAGTTTCGCTCTTGTTGCCCATGCTGGAGTGCAATAGCACGATCTCGGCTCACTGCAACCTCTGCCTTCCAGGCTGAAGCGATTCTTGTGCCTCAGCCTCCCAAGTAGCTGGGACTACAGGTGTGTGCCATCACATCGGGCTAAGGTTTTGTATTTTTGGTAGGGACGGGGTTTCACCGTGTTGGCCAGGCTGGTCTTGAACTCCTGACCTCAGGTGATTGCCCACCTCTGCCTCCCAAAGTGCTGGGATTACAGGCATGAGCCACTGCACCCAACCTCCAGTCCCATTTTAAAAGTAACTACTGCTATAAATTTAGTGTGTTGTCTTCTCAGGCTTTTTCTACCTATTTACATACATGTACCTATATGTAAATACGTTATTTGTTTTTTACATATAAATTATATATTTTATATTATATTGCAACTTACTATTTTTACTTAATATAGAGATTTTTTAAAGTCTGAACATATAGCCTATTACTATTATTACTATCTTATTACTATAGTATATTAATTATTAATATACTACTTTAATATACTATATGATTTTATGTCTATATTATTTTATTATTTTATAGTATTCCATGACATGGAGATACTTCAATTGACTTAGTCACTTGCCAGTAGATAGGTATTTAAATTATTCTCAGCTAATCTTTATTATTAGCAATAGTGTGATAAAATATTTACTCATGTTACTTAAGAACACATGGAAGTGTTTCTTTAGGATGAATATTCAAAGGTGGCATCCAAAAAGGATTTTGCAGAAAGTCAAGTTACTTTTGAGGATGTGCATTACGGTGGTCCTGACTAAAAGTGAACTGTTTACCTACAAGGAGGACCCCGTTGAATGGAGTTCAGGTTGCAAACTCTAATGCCTATAGGAAACAAGTATTAAACATAAATGGTGGGCCAGTGGGCATAAGACAGCTAGGTGAATGGCCGACCCCTGTGCCCCTGTGTCTGGAGTAGCTTCTACTCAGCTCCAGCCAAATCCTAGCATATGGGAAAGAAGACTTGGTAATGGTATTGACAAATTTTCTATAATTACCTGGATTTATTTTTATTTTTTTTGAGACAGAGTTTTGCTCTTGTTGCCCAGGCTGGGGTGCAATGGCGCAATCTCAGCTCACTGTAACCTCCGCCTCCAAGCAATTCTCCTGCCTCAGTCTCCCGAGTAGCTGAGATTACAGGCGCCCGCCACCAAGCCCGGCTAATTTTTGTATTTTTAGTAGGGACGGGGTTTCACCATGTTGGTCAGGCTGGTCTCAAATTCCTGACCTCAGGTGATCCACCCACCTCGGCCTCCCAAAGTGCTGGGATGACAGGCGTGGGCCACCACACCCGGCCTACCTGGATTTTTTAAAATGTGAAAGCTTCTGGTTAATTCCATTTTTTAAAAAACACTGTGAGGTCAAAAAACACATCCACAATCCAGATTTGGTCTGTGGCTTGATGGCCAGCATCTGACCTGTAGGGAGTGGGTGCTGTGGGAAATGGCTACTCCACATGTAATTCTGACCAATGCAGACCAACCACCCGGTGCAATGGAAGAGGCAGTAACCTTGGCAGAGAGTGACTGTGTCATCCAGAGAACCAGGGAGGGGCTGCACATGGCTCAAATTCAAGGAGTCAGTGCTCAAGCAGTCAGAAAAGGGCTATAGTCTGGTTCCTGGGAGGAAGACCTGGAAGACAGATTTCAACTCAGTCCAGAAAATAACCTGGTAATAGGCAGAGCTGCCCAGAGCTTGAAGGGGCTGCCTTAAGCCGAGTGAGTATCCTTTCCTGAGAGTGTGCAGAGGCTGGCTTTCCATCTGGAAGAGATATTGAAGCCGAGTTACTGGCCTCAGAAGGGGGCTGGACCAGAGAATAATTAAGTTCTGTTTAGTCTTGAGATCACAGTTTAGATTTAACTTGAACTGTTAGTTAATGAGAACTTACTGGGTGCAAGAGAAAAGGGACAAAGGGCTTACATTTGTAGAGCACATGCTGAGAGTCACACAGGCTGCGGTGGGCACCTTCACCCACATCATCAGATCCAGCCCTCCCTACGATCTCACAAGGCAGGCACATCACACGTTTAGCTGGTGCAGAAAATGAGGCTTAGAGAAGCAAAATGACTGAACTTGCCTGAGGTTTCACAGCCAACAAGTGACGAGTCTTGAACATTGATCCCTCTGGCCCAAAATCCAGTGCTCTTCCCACTATGGTTCTTCATATTTTGGAAGTCTCTATTTTACTTTTACCATGTATAAAAGAGTTTAAAATGAACATAAGCACCCCATCTAGGTGCATGGTGTCCTATTGCTTATTAAGCTCTTCTATGTTCACGTTCTCATTAGTTTCCTGGGAACTCTGTTGGAAGTCTCAGAATCACCTATCGTCCACTCTGTTATCCAGAATAATTTTTTTTTTTTTAGACGGAGTCTTTTTTTTTTTTTTTGAGACGGAGTCTTGCTCTTTCGCCCAGGCTGGAGTGCAGTGGCGTGATCTCAGCTCACTGCAAGCTCCGCTTCCTGGGTTCACGCCATTCTCCTGCCTCAGCCTCCCGAGTAGCTGGGACTACAGGTGCCCGCCACCGCGCCCAGCTAATTTTTTTGTATTTTTAGTAGAGACGGGGTTTCACTGTGTTAGCCAGGATGGTCTCGATCTCCTGACCTCGTGATCCGCCCGCCTCAGCCTCCCAAAGTGCTGGGATTACAGGCGTGAGCCACCACGCCCGGCTTAGACGGACTCTTATTCTGTCACCCAGGCTGGAGTGCGGTGGCACAATTGCAGCTCACTGCAACTTCTGCCTTCCAGATTCAAGCGATTCTCCTGCCTCAGCCTTCCAAGTAGCTGGGATTACAGGTGTGCACCACCACGCCCAGCTAATTTTTGTATTTTTAGTAGAGACGGCATTTCATCGTGTTGGTCAGGCTAGTCTCAAACTCCTGACCTCAAGTGATCTGCCCACCTCAGCCTCCCAAAGTGCTGGGATTACAGGTGTGAGCCAGCACACCCAGCCTATCTGAAAACATTTACTCCTCACTGTCAGTCAGCAAAACCAAGGGAACTTCTATATTGGTGCCATTTCTACATCTGGGCAAGAGCAAAGGTCTTCTCACATCGCCTCTTAGATACCCTGGCCGTATAAGTGTGACTATTACAATGTTAGTTTCTCGTTTTCAGGTAAATCCCTGCAGATGGAGGAATTCAATCTTTTAGAGAGTTATTTGGTTGCAGTTAACAGAAACCCAATCACAAGGGTTTAACAACCAAGAGGTTTCATTTCATTACATGTCAGAAGTCTGGAAGCAGCAACCAGGGATTGGGCAGTGACTCTGTGAAACCAATAAGAACTCAAGCTTAGCCAGGCACAGTGGCTCACGCCTATACTTCCAACATTTTGGGAGGCCAAGGTGGGCAGATTGCTTGAGCCCAGGAGTACAAGACTAGCCTGGGCAATATGGTGAGACCTCATCTCTACAAAAAATAAAAAAATTAGCCAGGCTTGGTGGCATGCGCCTGTGGTCCCAGCCCCTTGGGAGGCTGAGGTGGGAGGACTGCTAGAGCGTGGGAGGCGGAGGTGGCAGTGAGCCGAGATTGTGCCACTGCACTCCAGCCTGGGCGACATAGTGAGACCCTGTCTCAAAACAAAAACAAAAATCCCTCAAGCTTCTGCCATCTTCCTTCTCTGCCATACTTAGCATGTGATCCTCTTTCTCAGGCTCAATGGACAGCTGTGGTGCCTCCAGGCATTCATCCTCATTCCAGGCGTGAAGCCGAGGAAGGACAAAAGGTAAAAATCATAAGCCAGTTGAGCCTGTTACTTTTATCGGAAAAACAAACAATAGATTTCCTGGAAGCCCCACCTACTGTCCTCACAGGCCACCCCTGGCATATGGGTACCTGGGAAACCCACTTTCTTTTAGCTGGGCAAATTGCTGCCCTCAATACTTAGGGTTCTGTTAGTAAGGAAACAAGATTGCAGGCTACATGGATATTGGGCAAGCTCCTAATGTCCGTCGTATTGAACATGTCCTTTTTCTAGATGACAGTTTCTTTTTTAGAAAATACTTTTTGAACTTTAGTAATAGCCCAGGGTCATATCAACTTGAAAACTGAGGCAGGCTGGGTGCAGTGGCTCATGCCTGTAATCCCAGCACTTTAGGAGGCCAAGATGGAACCATTGCTTGAGGCCAGGAGCTCAAGACCAACCTGGGCAACATAATAAGACCCCATCTCTATAAAAGATAGAAAACTAGCCAGGCACGGTGATGCACACCTCTAGTCCTAGCACTTTGGGAGGCTGAGGCAGAAGGATTGCTTCAGGCCAGGCAATGGAGGCTGCAATGAGCCACAGTCGTGCTTTTGCAGTCCAGCCTGGGCAACAGAGCAAGACCTTGTCAAGACCCTGTCTGTAAAAAATGAAAAAAAAGAAAAAAGAAAAGTGAGGCAATCCATGACCTCATCTTGCCAAAACTTCTGACCGTAGAGTCCTTGGAATACGGGTGATTGGAGCTTTCAGAGTTGGCCACACTGGTCCATTGCCACATAAGTAAGGAGCTGAGGCTCCAAGAAGCTGCAGGGCTTTCCAGAGACAGTGACGGTTGGTACTCCAACCCAGGACTCCTCATCAGGTCCAGTGACCTTTCACCCGGAGCCGTTCTCCTCTCTGAAACAAATCACCTCTGTTTTCTTACTTCTTTATTTTCCAAAAATAATCGTTATCGTAAATAAGACACAGATACTGGAAGCCACAGAACTCAAATGGTGGCTTAATGAATTATAATGAGGTGAACTCCACCTAGAGACAAGAAAAGGACTTTGTCAAAATCCCCTTCCACTCCCCATTAAAAAAAATTCCTGAGCATTGTTTATGTCACTTCCACATATTTTTTTGGAGTGTTATCATCCATGTATACATTCCAAGATTTGGTTTAGTCTAGCCCATTTAAAGAAGGTGGTGTGTCTTCTAAATGTTTTTTAATCTATGCAAACCTCCTCCATCTCCTTCATTTTGTGACAGCTCACCAGTTGACGGACCCAGGCTGTTTGACTTGTGGAGGGTCCACAGCCTGGATTTTGCTGATTGTGTACTTTCGGTGTAGTTCTTCATGTTCCTCTGTCCTTTGTATTTCCTGGCAATTGACAGCTGGATCTAGACACAGGCTCAGCTTTAATCCCTCTGGCAGGACTATAGGTGGTATTTGCCAAGACTATAAGAGGCACATCACATCTGGTGTTTCTGTTTTTGTGACCTTAGCAGCCATTGATATCTAAGTTTCCTTATAAGGGGAATGCAGAATCTGTAGAGATTAAAAGTGCTTGCTACTTATGTCTCCTGTCTCTCCTTCCTCAAGGAGTATTGGGCCCCTAACCTTCAAAGTTTGGGGACGTGTCTGTGGAAAAGGGTGGGCAGCTGTTTCTCCCCTGGAGATTTCTGAGGGCCCTGCGCTCATGAAGTGGGCTTAGGAGGGATGCCCATCTCTTGGTCCTACTCACTTCTTAGAGGGGTGAAGGAGGGTTCCGCTGGCTCCAGTCATTACTCAGGCAGGAGCACTGCTTACCTGAGGGTCAGGGGTCATGCAAGCTAGACTATGGGACACACACTAGAAATAGGACAGGCTGTAAACTGTGGGTGGGATCAAAGATAGTTGCAGCTGTTCAGTGGGAGTGCCCTGGTATATGTGAGTCTTCTGACACAAAGCATTGATTGAAAAAAACCATGCCCACTAACTATACCAAAACAATTCCATCAGCAAAGTCCTCTGATAATGGGTTAAATCAGATGAAGACCAAAGGCTTACAGCTCCCCTTGTCCTGACAGCACCCAGTCATGACTGAGCCCTGCAACCTGGGTCAGGATATAATAGTGACAATGGCAATGGGAGCCAGAAAAGAAAGAGAGAGAGAGAGAGAGAGAGAGAAAATACAGCTTCCAGGGCACAGAACCAGATGGGAGAGCAGGGAAATCATTCGGAGAGACAGAACATGCAAAGAGTGAGCCACATTTAAGCTGTGAACGGTGCTTGAGTTGGTGTTCTTGAATTTGATAGTTTTTTTTTATCCACCTTCCCGGCTATGGCAGAGGTAGCAGCTTCCCTGGAAGCCCACTTCTGTGTGTTGTTCTAGGAACCATTTCCGGAGACTCAGCCCAGAGCTGCCTTTCAACCCTAACAATTATTTTTTAAGCATGTAATTCTCCATATCATATTGCCTTTTTACTTAAAATAGCTAGGGTGTTTCTTTCTACAACTGAACTTTATGGATACAACTGCATTAGACAAAAACTGATGGACAGGACTAGTTTATAAACTAGGATGACATACTAAGAGCTTAGAAGGGCCCCTCTTCGCCTCCCCTTCTCTTCCCACAAAGGCTGAGATTAAAACTTCTTTGGAGAGCTCATGGCTGCCACAGGATCATGCAGCCTACTGGTGGCAAATAAACTTGCCACAGGGTTCAGGCCAAAGCTGGTGCAAAGGAATAGGCTTCCAGGTGGCAGAGAAAGGTACCAGAAGGTACAGGCAGGCTGGAGTCAGTTAATAAGAGCAGCCTCTGGGGGAAAGTAAGACTACCTGTAATCTTCCCACTACTTATTAGGAGTGTAAGTTTGTCAAAGAATTTGTAGAAGAATCCAGGCTAGAATGTAGTGGCGTGATCATAGCTCCCTTGAACTCCTGGGCTCAGGTGATCTTCCTGCCTCAGCCTCCCAAGTAGCTGGGACTACAGGTGCATGCCATCACGCCTGGCTAATGTTTTATAGAGATGAGGTCTCACCATGTTGCCTAGGCTGATCTTGAACTCCTGGCCTCAAGTGATCCTCCTGCCTCAGTATCCCAAAGTGCTGTGATTACAAGTGTGAGCCACCATGCCTGGCCCCAACATTCCACTTTGAATTGAGCATATATGCTGAATCGTAATCTGTTCGTCCAAGCACCTGGAACAGAAATGTCAAATCTGTTTTGTGCTTGTTATTATTTCCATCCTGTACTAATGATAAGACATTACTAATTAATCATGCACTCTTTTCCCCTGAGGCTGGATGTGGCTTTATCTATCTCTACACAGCACTTCAAGCAGCCACTTCTAATAGACTACATTGGGAGACAAGGCAGAAACTGCTCAGCCATGTGTGCCTGATATGCATTGGATCTGTGTCCCCGTCAAATTTCATGTCAAATTGTAATCACCAGTGTTAGAGGTGGGGCCTGGTGGGAGGTGATTGGGTCATGGGGGCGGAGTTCTCAGGAATGGGTTAGCACCGTCCCCTGCGTGCTGTTCTCCTGATAGTGAGTGAGTGAGTTATTCTCAGATCTGGTTGGTTGTTTTTTTGTTTTTGTTTTTGTTTTTTGTTTTTTTTTTGAGATGGAATCTCATTCTGGGTAGAGTGTGATGGCGCAATCTTGGCTCACTGCAACCTCCGCCTCCCAGGTTCAAGCAATTCTCCTGCCTCAGCCTCCCAAGTAGCTGTGATTACAGGCACCTGCCATCGTGCCCTGCTAATTTTTGTATTTTTGCAGAGATGGGGTTTCACTATCTTGGCCAGGCTGGTCTCAAACTCCTGACCTCAGGTAATCTGCACACTTCGGCCTCCCAAAGTGCTGGGATTAAGGCGTGAGCCACCTCGCCCAGTCCAGTGTTTGTTTAAAAGTGTGTAGCATCTACCCTTTTCCTCTCTTCCTTCTGCTCCCGCCATGTTAAGATATGCCTGCTCCTGCTTTGCCTTCCACGTGATTGTAAGTTTCCTGAGGCCTCCCAAGAAGCCGAGCAGATGCCAGCATCGTGCTTCCTGTACTGCCTACAGAACTGTGAGCCAATTATCCCTCTTTTCATTATAAATTACCCAGTCTCAGGTATTTCTTTACAGCAGTGCGAGAAAAAACTAATACAGTGCTCTAGAACAAATACGAATTAGAAAGTGTCATAAACTTTTTAAAAGTCTATTTTTTTTCAACTTTTTTTTTAATGGAATGCCTGTTATGTGCAAGTCTGTATGCTATACACTCTAACGGAATACAAAGATTATTTCAGTATGGATTTAGTCTCAGAAATCCTCTAGGGAAGTAGAATCACGTACGTGATTGTATTACAAGATTTGAAGGGATAACACAGAGAGATGCACCTAACATGTCACGAGGGATGAATGTTTCTTGCTGGGAGCTGGTAGGGCAGGGCCTTGCAGAATAGTTGAGCTTTAAACATGTGACAACCTGAGGATGGAGGAGTAGTAGAAGGAATTCTAATGGGGAGGAATGGCCTGAGCAAATGCAGAAGTCAAAACAAAGGTCAGGGTACGCAGAGAGGAGAGAAGGTGGTATACTCTAGCTGGATGGACAAGAGAATGTGATGGGGAGTAGTAGGAGCCGAGGTGTGGAAGGCAAGATGACATTAGACTGTCAAGGTCCCTGAATGCCTGGCTTTGGGGTTAGAGCCTTACTCACTCAGCAGAGAAAAGCCAAGGAGGGGATTTGGAGTGGGAGAATCATAGGTCAGAGGTGCACTCAGGAACATGGATTTTGTTGTTGGGTGAAAGATGCATTATAGGCTGGGTGCGGTGGCTCACGCCTGTAATTCCAGCACTTTGGGAGCTCGAGGTGGGTGGGAGCCTGTGGTCGGGAGTTTTGAGACCAGTCTGACCAACGTGGAGAAACCCTGTCTCTACTAAAAATACAAAATTAGCCAGGCGTGGTGGCACATGCCTGTAATCCCAGCTACTTGGGAGGCTGAGGCAGGAGAATCACTTGAACTGGGAGGTGGAGGTTGTGGTGAGCTGAGATCGCGCCACTGCACTCCAGCCTGGGCAACAAGATCAAAGCTCCATCTCAAAAAAAAAAAAAAAGGAAAGAAAGAAAGATGCATTATAGAGAGAGGCCAGAAGGAGAGGAGGCGAGGCCATTGAGGAGGCTGCTGCAATGGCCTGGTGTGTCAGCCAAGGCCCAGACAGGAGACAGAAAGCATATATGTGATTTGAAATTTTAATTTAAAGATCTTTTTAAAAATTATGATAAATTATACATAACATGAAAACAATGATTTTAACCATTTCTTAAAACTTTTTTTTCTTAATAGACAGGGTCTCATTTTATTGCCAGGCTGGTCTTGAACTCGGGCTTCAAGCAATTCCCTCTCCTAACCCTCCCAAAGATTTGAGATTATACGTATGAGCCATCACACCGGCTCCATCTTAACCATTTTTAAGTGTACAGTTTAGTGGCATTAAGTACATTCACATTCTTATGCAACCATCACCACTATCCAGCTCTAGAACTTTTTTATCTCTAGAACTGAAACTCTGTTCCCGTTAAACACAAAGCTGCCCACTGCCATCCTTTCCCAGATCCTGGTAATCACTATTCTACTTTCTTTCTTTCCTTCTTTCTTTCTTTTTTATTCTTTTTTTGTTAATGTCTCTTTCTGTTTGTTTTATTTAATTATACTTTAAGTTCTGGGATTTTTTTTTTTTTTAAGACAGAGTCTTGCTCCATCACCCAGGCTGTAGTGCAGCGGCACGATCTTGGCTCACTGCAACCTCCACCTCCCAGGCTCAAGCACTCCTCCTGCCTCAGCATGCCAAGTAGCTGAGACTACAGGCATGCAATGCCATGCCTGGCTATTTTTTTTGTATTTTTTGTAGAGATGGGTTTTGCCAGGTTGCCCAGGCTGGTCAAACTCCTGGGCTCAGGTGATGTGCCCGCCTCAGCCTCCCAAAGTGCTGGGATTACAGGTGTAAGCCACCGTGCCTAGCCACTATTCTACTTTCTATCTCTATAAGGTTGATTATTCCAGGCAACTCCTATAATGATAAAGGACTTTTAACTAGTAAAATGTGGTTAATTATTCAAAAGTATAAAAGAGAACTCTAAAGGATATAGAGTAGCAAGTACAGAGAGTAGCAACTCCCTCTAAAGCTGAAAGAGAGTGAACAAGGAAAGAATCAAAAACTTAGAAGGTTCCCTATTCGCCTGCCATCCCTCTCCTTCCAAGGCTGAGATTCAAATCTCTTTAGGCCAGGCACAGTGGCTCGTGCCTGTAATCCTAGCACTTTGGGAGGCTGGGGCAGGCAGATCACTTGAGGTCAGGAGTTTGAGACCAGCCTGGCCAACATGGTGAAACCCCATCTCTAGCAAAAATACAAAAATTAGCTGAGCGTGGTGGCACATGATTGTAATCCCAGCTACTCGGGAGGCTGAGGCAAGAAAATCACTTGAACCCGGGAGGCGGAGGTTGCAGTGAGCTGGGATTGCGAACACTACACTTCAGTCTGGGCAACCGTGCAAGACTCCATCTCAAAAAAAAAAAAATCTCTTTAGAGAGCAACTGGCTGCCACAGCATTATGCAAACTGCAGGTGGCAAAGAAACTTGCCACAGGGTACAGGCCAAAGCTAATGCAGAGGAATAGCCTTCCAAGTGGCAGAAGAAGGCACCAGAAGGTACAGGCCGGCTGGATTCAGTTAATAGGAGCAGCCTCTGGGGAAAGAGAAATTGTTGAAGGTCACATGTTAGAGCCAGCTCAAGAGAGCTGTAGGTGCTATTGGGCTGCATGGTGATGGACTGTATGGCTCCCTTGCCAAAAAGCATCACTCCAGAGGCAGGAAGGGAATTCCTACCCTCTTACTCTGGCCTGGCAGTGTCCCCCCATGCTCTCTATTGACAAAGCCTAATGCCGAACCCATTGGCAAAGGAGAAATACCTATACGGTCTAGTCCTAGTATCAGAAAGGAGGGCAAAGAAGGGTGGATTTGGCACTGAGAGACATACATTGGTAACCGGTACAGTAGGTAACTGGTAACTGGGGCTGAGCTGCATGGGTGACGCTGGAGATATACAGGAAGAACTAATCCCAGAGACATAGGGAGGGGGACTGGACAGCATTTCTGATGCTACCCTGTTTTTGTTCTGTTTGTTTATTCTTTGAGACAGGAGTACAGTGGTGTGATCTTGGCTCACTGCAACCTCCGCCTCCCGGGTTCAAGTGGTTCTCCTGCCTCAGCCTCCCGAGCAGCTGGGACCACAGACACACACCACCATGCCGGGCTAATTTTTTTACATTTTTAATGGAGATGGGGTTTTGCCATGTTGGCCAGGCTGGTCTCGAACTCCTGACCTCAGGTGATCTCCCCACCTCGACCTCCCAAAGTGCTGGGATTACAGGCGTGGGCCACCATGCCCAGCTGCCATCCTGTTTTTGTATAGTCAATATGACACTTTTCCAGCCCCTAAATCATAAATGCTCCATAGAAGCACCCCTCTAGAGGCTCCCTATAAGCAGGTGCCATGGCGATATCTAGGTAAAGGAAATGCCCACACAGAGAGAGCAAAGCAAACAAAGTGCAGAATACCTGCTATGAGCCAAGAAGACCAAACACATTCAGAAACACTCCCACCTCGAATCCAATCAGATCAAGAGGTAGGAGCTATGATGCCCATGTTACAGAAGGAGAAAGTGAGGCTTAATTAGATGAAGCAACTTGCCCAGGAGTCACAGAGTCATATGGCTAGCCAGATAAAGGGCAAAGCAGGGATATAGAGAGGCCAGCCTCTGGCTAACCAGCTAGAGCAGGAGTTGGCAGAGTTTTCTGCAGTGGCGAAACAGTCAATATTTTAGGTTTGGTGATTCATGTGATCTCTTTGTCAACTACTTAACTTTGCCATTGTAGCACAAAAGCGGCCACAAACAACATGTAAATGAATAGGCATGGCTGCGTTCCAGTAAAACTTCATTTATGGATAGCTATATTTAAATTTCATCTAATTTTCATGAGTCACGAAATGTTCTTCTGTTGATTTTTTTTTCCAACCATTTAAAAATGCAGAAATCATTTTTAGCTTCCAGACCACACAAAAACAGGCCGGAATTGGTCCATGGAACTGTGGTTTGCCAACTGCTAATCTACACTCATGCTACTCAGAGTGTGGTCTTTGCACTGAAAGTGCAAGAGTGGTAGCTCTGAGGAAATGCAGAATTTCAGGTCCCGCCTCCAGCATGCTGAGTCTTCATTTTAATAAGATGCACCTTACAGCTTGAGGCACAGGACCTGATCTGTGATTCTTTGTTAAAACACATATTCCTAGCCTATCCATAGAGATCCTAACAAACACCCAGGAGGAGCTGACGCTGCCAGTCTGAGGCCTAGATTTGAGGTAGAAAGGCTCTAAAAAACTGCTCTCAAACTTGGCTGAATACTGGCATCGCCTCATCAGCTCTGATGTACACAAACGCCTGAGTCACACCCACAGATATTCTGATATCATTGGTCTGGGGTAAAGCCTGAGCACTGGCATTTCTAAAACCTCCCCAAGCCCAGGCACAGTGGCTCATGCCTGTATTCTCAACGTTTTGGGAGGCCAAGGTGGGAGGATCGCTTGAGGCCAGGAGTCGAGACCAGCCTGGGCAACATAGTGAGACACTGACTCTATGAAAAATTAAAAAAAAAAAAAATTAGCCAGATGTGGTGGTGTATTCCTGTAGTCCTAGCTACTGAGGACACCAAGTGGGGAGGATTGCTTGAGCCCAGGAGTTCGAGGTTACAGTGAGGTATGATAATGCCACTGCACTCCAGCCTGGGAGATAGAGCTAGACCCTGTGAAAAACAAACAAACGAACAATCTAAGGTAACTAAAACCTCCTCAGGTAGTTCTAATGCACAGATAGGTAGTAGAGAGCAGAAGGTGACCTGAGAGCTTATAGGAAGGTGACCTGAGAGCTGAACACAATCAGCACAGCTATTTAGGTTGGCCCATCAGGTGTTTTAAATGTCTTCAACTGACAACTTTTTTTTTTTTTTTTTGAGATGGAGTCTCGCTCTGTCACCCAGGCTGGAGTGCAGTGGTGCCATCTTGGCTCACTGCAACCTCTGCCTCCCGGGTTCAAGCGATTCTCCTGCCTTAGCCTCCTGAGTAGCTGGGATTACAGGCATGTGCCACCACGGGTGGCTAATTTTTGTATTTTTTTAGTAGAGATGGGGGTTTCACCATGTTGGTCAGGCTGGTCTCGAACTCCTGACCTCAGGTGATCCACCTGCCTCGGCCTCCCAAAGTGCTGGGATTACAGGCATGAGCTGCCACGCCCAGCTGACAACATTTAAAAAATGGAAATTTCAAGCCAGGTGCAGTGGCTCAAGCCTGTAATCCCAGCACTTCGGGAGGCCAAGGCAGGCGGATCACCTGAGGCCAGGAGTTCGAGTCCAGCATGACCAACGTGGTGAAACCCTGTCTCTGCTAAAAATACAAAAATTTGCTGTGTGTGGTGGTGTGTGCCTGTAATGCCAGCTACTCAGGAGGCTTAAGCATGAGAATTGCTTGAACCCGGGAGGCGGAGGTTGCAGTGAGCCAAGATCATGCCATTGCACTCCAGCATGGGTGACAAGAGCAAAACTGTCAAAAAAAAAAAAAAAAGAAAAAGAAATTTCATAGACATGTAAATACAAAATCCTAGATTTCCAGCTTCTCCTGAAAAATCAGAAAATCTGGCACACTCAGCCCTGATTCCTTCATGGCCACAACAGACTGGCGTCCGGTAGCTGCTGCCTTCAGAAGCCCAGCACACCTCACTCCCCACTGGCGTGTCACCTTTACTGTCTCATATCTGTGGACACACAGGCTTGCCAACCTGGATTGGACTCTAGAAGCACCCACTGGATCTTTTCCCTTAGATTTTGTTTTTCTTTTCTTTCTTTCTTTCTTTTTTGAGACAGAGTCTCGCTCTGCTGCCCAGGCTGAAGTGCGGTAGCACGATCTCGGCTCATTGCAACCTCTGCCTCCCAGGTCCAAGTGATTCTCCTGCCTCAGCATCCTGAGTAGCTGGGATTACAGGTGCCTGCCATCATGCCGGGCTAATTTTTGTATTTTTAGTAGAGATGGGGTTTCACCATGTTGGCCAGGCTGGTCTCGAACTCCTGACCTCAGGTGATCTGCCTGCCTCGGCCTCCTAAAGTGCTGGGATTACAGGCGTGAGCCACTGCATCTGGCCGGATTTTGTTTTTCTTTGGCTGTGCTGCTTGGCTGGGAGAGAAAAACATTTCTTTCCAAAATCTGGTTTTACATTTTAAAATTGCAAAACAGACAATATGTTGTAAATCTGGGTATCATGCCTATGCATCTTAGTCTAGTGAAGATTACAGCCTGCACAGTATTGTTTTACAGGGGTTTTTGGATGGCCCAAGACAAATTATGATCCCTTGTTAGCAAACCATATGAACCACTTGATGAGTCCATCGCCTGGTCAGTTTTCACATTTCAAACCAAGGCATCAATCTCACGATTCACTTCCAGGCATCCGTTGTTTGCATTTGCACACAGAATAATAATGCCACATGTATTCAGAGTTCTTCACAGTTTACAAAGCACTTTTGCAGACATTCCTTCATAAGATCTTCACAGTAAACTGAACAAAGGCATATGTATTACCTCTAGTAATTGACAAGAAAAATGAGGCTCAAAGACGGCCAGTGACTTTCTCAAGTTGACCTAGCCTGTTATTCAGAACTCTTTGCAGTTCTACTATTTTCTTTCTTTTTTCTTTCTTTCTTTCTTTTTTTTTTTTTTTTTGAGGCAGAGTTTCACTCTTGTTGCCCAGGATGGAGTGCAATGGCACAACTCGGCTCACTGCAACCTCCGCCTCCTGGGTTCAAGCAATTATCCTGCCTCAGCCTCCCAAGTGGCTGGGATTACAGGTGCCTGCCACCACACCTGGTTAATTTCTTGTATTTTTAGTAGAGACGGGGTTTCACCATATTGGCCAGGCTGGTCTCAAACTCTTGACCACAGGTGATCCACCCACCTCAGCCTCCCAAAGTGCTGGGGTTACAGGCGTAAGCCACCGTGCCTGGCCATTCTACTATTTTCTAACCCTGTGCTTTCTACTCCCCCATCCTGCCTCTAATGAATGCTCCTCGAAGAAAATGCTCCTCTGAGAAATCCCACGAGAACTGTGACCCCTCACAGCACGACGTCAACCTGGAAAACATAAGGCTTTGGAAATGCTCACCCCTGCACATCTGCTTCCTGACCTCATACTCTTCAGATTAGATAGCTCTTGGAAGAGGCTTGATGTATCAGAAAAACAAAAGTTACTAAAGGATGCTTGGTACAGTGGAGAGATCATGGACTGTGGAATCACACAGACCTGGTTTCCAAGAGTCCCCAAACCTCACCCCCACCAGCTCAGCCAAGGGGAAAATCAGATGCACCCAATTGGCTGAGCAGGAATCCCAATTGGCTGAGCATGAATCACAGCCAGGAGGAGGAGCAGAACCCATAGGGTCAGGGGGGCAGAGACATTTAAAAATCAAAAACAAAAACATGAGGATTGTGAGGTAGAAAGAAAAAGGGGCAACCGAAGAGAGGAAGACAATTTCAATGTCTAGCTTAGGTGGGCTCAGAATGAGCAGGGGGCTACTCAATGAAAAGTAAAGAACTGTTTCATACCACCGTTGAGACTTAGTGTAGATGCACAATCGTTTACTAGGGCCTCTGTAGCATCAGGCTGTCCCTTGCCACCCTCCCTTTCACTAGGAGGATAAAGTGTTATACTTGCTTAGGCAAACTCACTCCCTTGCTGGAAGGATGTACAACCAAGTGGAATTGGGAAAAGATACCTTGGAGTCTGCATCCAGGAACATATTTACTAATTATGCATCTGGCCTTGAGGGAGGTCAAAAGGGTAAGCAGAGCTCTCTCTCTCTCTCTCTTTTTTTTTTTTTTTTTTACAAGATTGAGTCTTGCTCTGTCACCCAGGCTGGAGTGCAGTGGCACGATCTCGGCTCACTGCAACCTCCACCTCCTGGGTTCAAGCGATTCTCGTGCCTCAGCCTCCCAAGTAGCTGGGATTACAGGCACCTGCCACCACACCCAGCTAATTTTTGTATTTTTAGCAGAGACGGGTTTTGCCATGTTGGTCAGGCTGGTCTCGAACTCCTGATCTCAAGTGATCCACCCACCTCGGCCTCCCAAAGTGCTGGGAGTATAGGCGTGAGCCACCGTGCCCAGCCAAGCAGAGCTCTCTTTCCCATTGATTCTGTTCTTGTTCTTGACTCTTTACTGCTCACCTGAACCACTGCATTAGCCTCCTAAAGGCCTCCTTGCCTCTAAGTCTCAATCCAACCACTTTCTCCTCCATGCTGTAGTTACGCACAGTGGCCTTGTCTTTGTGTGCACATTGGAATCACCTGGGAAGTTAAATTAATAGATGAGAAAGGCTCTGACCTGGCTGGGAACAGTTTGATAAAGCTGGTTATGAGGTTTAGACCTTATCCTGCAAGTAGTTTTAGAAAGATTATTTTAGCACAGTAGCCCTCAACCTTGACTACGTTCAAATCATCCAAGGAATATTTAATTATCATATGGGGCCACACCCTAGACCAATTATATTAGAATCTCTGGGATAGAACCCAGGCATCCACGGGCTGACACTTTCCAGGTGATTCCAATGTCCAGGATGCAGTCCACTGCTCCTAGCTCCAGCGTGGAGGATAGATTGAAAGGAGAGATTCTAAGGAAGTCTCTTTCAACAAGGTAAGAGGCTCGTGTAGGGTCCAGGTGAGAGATGCTAAGGAAGGAACTGGGGCAAAACTCGTGGAAATAGGAAGAGAGGGAGGGATATGAGCTGGTTAAGGAACGAGAACCTACAGGATTAATTAACTGATGGCTGCGGCAGGTGGGACAAGAGAGGCATCGAGGATGATTTCCAAGGTTTTGCTTATTCAACTAGTTGAGTGGTGGTGTCACTGCCAAGACGGGGAGACAGGGAGAGAATCAATAGCCTTGGGGTGGGTATGGGGAGGGGACGTTGAATGGGACAGGACTGCAAGACACTCAGGAGGAGATGTTGGGAGTATGTCTGAAGCTCAGAGGCAACATCCAAGGGAAAGAATATACGGTTTTGTTCTGGACCAGGAGAATAGGCTTGAGAATGCTCAGCATCAAGGCGGTGGTTGTTGAGATGTGGGTGTTGATGAGATGACCAGGGCAGAAGATGAGGACAAAGTCAAAAACAGCAACTAGAAGACAAAACAGTTAATACTGGAGTAACATTAAACCAAAAAAGGTGACTGAGGCCAAGACCAAGGCCAAGGATTCTTTTCCTTGACTCCTAGAGAACAAGACAGAGATGGGAGGAGTACAGTTCACAGAGATGAGAGGTAAGTGGACTTGTCACTTGGTTCCCAGCTGACACTGCTCTTCTGCTTAACATACTGCTCAAATATTTTAAAGGTCTTGAACACAATCCCTGATCCCACCCTACCATATGCCTCATAGCCTGTGTTAGGGATGACATTTGAAGTAATAAAATAAATCCGAATGCCACATCCTATCCTTGTCCAATGAGCATTGAGAATACCAGCTAATATCATAGACTTGAAACTGGGAAAGAGTTTGGCCTTATTTTACAGATTTGAAAACTGAGGTTCAGAGAATGCAAATGCCTTGTTAAGTTCTCCCAGAAAGTTGGTAGCAGGGTAAAGGAACTCGAATCCTGATTACCCAGGGACCAGTCCACAGCACCCTTCATTGCAGTTTTGGACATTGCTTCTCATTGCGGCAGAGTCCAGCACAGTGCTCAGCAGCTATTCAGGTACTCAGTGCATTCAAAGGCAATTTATAAACGTCGTATTGAAGAGATAAATGTCTCAAAAGCATCTGAGATCTGAGAAAGTGAGGATTATTATTAAAAGCAAGACAAGAGAATGCCAAGGGTCATGAATTGGAAAGTATTTATTTGGGCACAATATTTGCTGAGAGGAGAATGACACCTTCTCTAAAGAGTATTTCCTTGGCTACTTAACCTTGTCCCCACCTGTCCAATCTAGCAACCACCAACAGACTCTGGCTAAGAAATGCCATGCTGCTCTGGGGTCAGGAGACTTTGTCTATAGGAGAAAGAGCAGTGGAAAGGGAGTTGGGAGATCATGCCCAACTCTGTCATTCACCAGTTTCTTGAGCTAATCATATCTCCTTCCTGAGTTGCCAGTAAAATTATGAGGTCAGACTTGATCATCTTTGAGATCCTTCAAAACCAGTGACCTAGCTGGGTCTGGTGGCTCACGCCTGTAATCGCAGCACTTTGGGAGGCGGAGGTGGGCAGATCACTTGAGGCCAGGAGTTCGAGATCAGCCTGGCCAGCATGGTGAAACTCTGTCTCTACTAAGAATACAAAAAATCAGCCGGGCATGATGGTGCATCCCTGTAGTTCCAGCTACAGGAGGTTGAGGCAGAAGAATCGCTTGAACCCGGAAGGTGGATGTTGCAGTGAGCCAAGGTCACACCAGCCTGGGCACTCTAGCCTGGGCCACAGAGCAAAACTCCATCTCAAAAACAACAACTACAATTAAAAAATCCCAGTGACTTGGTTTATGCTTTGCCTTTCCCCAGATCCTCATGAGAGAGCTACCGTAAATTCTTTCCCAAACATGGAATAAGGACTGTTCCTTACCCAATGCCTGGCTCCCTCCTCCAGGTGGAATTAATTAGCTATCAAGGCTGGATGTAGGGAGAAAAGAATTCCATTCTCATGTTATATTTGTTAAAAACACATTTCCGTGTAAGCACATGCATCTGTCTTTGTGCTTGCTCTGAAAGATTCTCCTGCTGACAGGTTTTTGGCGAGTTCCTAGAGCAGGAGGCCTCTTTTTCCAACACTCACCTTGCTCAGCAGTGTGAGCTTTGAGGTCCAATCAGTCCAGTAAACTTCACGGTGTTAGGATGTGTGCTTCCCCCTTTTCAGCTTATAAGGTGCTTTTCCATAAATGATGTCATTGGGTCCTCACTGCAGCCATACGAGGCCGGTAGCATAGGTGTTGTCATTACCACTCTACCGGTGAGGTGTCTGAGGTCAGGAGAGGTTACGTGGCTTGGCCGAGATCACACAGTGGTCACTGGTAGACCTGGGGCACAAATCAAGGTATCTGGATCCAACAGCCAACCCTGTTTCCATTACTCATTCTTTCATTCATCGACTTGACATGCATTTACTAAGCACTTCACACAAGGTCAATCTTGTGACGGGCTCTAAAATACAAAGATGAGCAAGACATGGTTCCTCCCTTGAGTAGCTCACAGACTGATGAGTTGGGAGACGAGTCTGCAAAGCATTAATGGAAACACAAGTGCTGTGCTTTGGGAAGAGAGAGGAGAAAGCAACTAAATCGGCCTGGGAGAGTGCGGGAAATGCTCTTAGAGAAACAGATGTTGGAGTAGGGATTTTCAGAGCAATAGAAAGGGAGAGAAACCTGCCAGGAAAAAGAACAGCATGGAAAAGGCACAGAGTCACGGGCACTGGGAAGTCCAGTGGGATTGGAGACTAGGGTCATGCTGGGGAGTGGAGGGAGATGCAATGAAGGAGTTAGAGGGACGTGGTAAGGAAAGGTACAATTTCTGAGTGGAGTTGGGCTTGACCCAGCAAGTAACAGGCCACTGAGTAGTCAGTGTGTGGATGTTCTAGATTTTCCTGTTTGGTTAATGGTGTATTGGCTGCTGCTTGATACACAGCCACCTACACAGTCCAATTGTCTCCTCCTCCCTGCACAGGCCTGACTTGACCTAGTTATTCCAGAGCATTGCTCAATCACCAAATAGCTTCCATAAGAGGTGAGAGAGAGAGAGAGAGAAGAAGGAGGAGAGGGGGAGGAAGAGGAGGAATGCTTGAGCAATCCAGGAGACCGAGCCAGGATCGGGCCTCTGAGAGGCCCATGTGGGTTTCACATTCTCAGGACAATATTTGCCATCCTCACTGGCAGAGGGAGAGTGGAGACTATGCACCGAGCACAGGTCTAGGCCTGAATGGGAATGAGTCAGTGGCCAAAGGGCAGGGTTGGGAGGGAGTGGGTGGCTGATGGTGGACACAGGTGGAGGAAGAACTGGGAGTGTGCCCCTCTGCTGGGATTTCCCTGCTCCTGAGGCTCCCTTCAGCCATCCAAACTCCTTGGGTTTCCTCTTGTACCCACAATGCAAGGGTTGGAAAAGGGGGCCCAGTTAAGTATTTTGGGTGAGAAGAAAACCATTTTAACTCCTTTCTTTTCCTGACTTAGTTTACAGTTAGCAGCAATAGCTTCCACCCATAAATACAATGTACACTGCTTGGTATTCGCACAGCTCTTTAAAGTTTTTAAGTTTATACTTTATTATCCAAATTAGAGCCAAATTGCTAAACAGGACACTAGGACATCAGATATGCACTGGGACTATTCTGGTCATACCATGATATATGACCACCATAGATACTTAGAAATCCAGGGCTTCATGATACTCTTACAAGATCCTGGGAGTGGACCTCACCATCTCCATTTTACAGTTGAGGAGACACATGTGTTTCCTCTTAGCTGCCAGGGGGATGGAAGAGGAAGGTGGTCCAGCAGAGACTGGGTGAAGTCAGCTGCTCTCTTGCGCAGCTTTTCAGAAACAGCTGGGACTGTGCTGTTAGAGGCAAGGTGCACAGTGGAGCTGGGAAGGGAGCCACCATATGTGAGTGCCGGGGATAAGGCAGGCCTTGCCTTCATAAAATGTTCAGTGCTCGTACATCCATTGCCTCATTTAATTCGTTTTTTGTTTTGTTTTGTTTTTGTTTGTTTGTTTTTTGCCCAGGCTGGAGTGCAGTGCACGATCTTGGCTCACTGCAACCTCTGCCTCCCAGGTTCAAGAGATTCTCCTGTCTCAGCCTCCCTAGTAGCTGTAACTACAGGCATGTGCCACCATGCCTGGCTAGTTTTTGCATCTTTAGTAGAAACGGGGTTTTGCCATGTTGGCCAGGCTGGTCTCAAACTCCTGACCTCAAGTGATCCACCTGCCTTGGCCTTCCAAAGTGCTGGGATGACAGGAATGAGCCACTGTGCCCAACCTAATTCTGACATTTAGCTCTGCAAGGAGATAATATTTTATAGATGAGGAAAACAAAATTCAGAGAAGTTGAGTCACTTTCTTAAGGCCATAGAGGTAATAAGTAAGGAGTTGAGATTTAAATCTGGCACTGTACCTCTTCTATCACACCATCCTGCCACATTGGCACAACCCTGTATGAGGGTCCTCAAGGAGGCCCATGTCTGAGTGGTGGTAGCTCTTCTCCAACCTTCTTCTCTACCCTCTTTAATAACCAACTATAACTCTACTCCTCAGGCACTTATCTAAATATTCTTTAAGTCTAGCCAGAGTTTTACCCAAGATGAAATATGTACATGGAAAGAACCAAGAAACAAACCAATTCTAAACCAATTTCTCCTCTCTGGCAGAGAGGCTGCCCTAACTGATACGCTCTGCAGAAAACTGAGTGAGAAGGAAAATAAGAGCCAGGCATGGTGGCTCATGCCTGTAATCCCAGCACTTTGGGAGGCCGAGGTGGGTGGATCAATTGAGCCCAGGACTTTGAGAACAGCTTGGGCTGGCAAAACCCCAGGGGTTGGAAGTGTGAGGGACTGAGGAAGGAGGATCGCTTGAGCCCCGGAGGTTGAGGCTGCAGTGAGCTGTGATTATCACTGCACTCCAGCCTGGATGACAGAGTGAGACCCTGTCTCAAAAAAATAATAACAGGAAGGAAGGAAGGAAGGAAGGGAGGGAGCAAAGGAGGGAGGAAAGGAGGGAGGGAGGGAACTCAGTTACAGAGGTTGTCTCTAGTTGGTTTACTGTGGCTCCACCAATGTAAAGGGCATAGCCCCCTGGCTACCGTCCTCACCCCTAGGAGACTATGGTTTCCCCCTTATCCTGTCCTGATCCCAGTTAACTCTAAGAAGTCTTCTGCCAGCCCCCGTTCTGCCTCTTCTCCCAGGTGACTAGGCAAGCTGCCCAGCAGCCATCACCCACCCCTGCTCACGAACTGCAACTTGCACATAGGGTGATGGGAGGTCGGAGTGTGTATTCTCCTCAAGCTACTTTCATAACATGGGTCTGCCTGGAGAGTTACCTCATCCCAGATTGCTTGTCCAGGTGGCTGCAGGATCTTGCCAAGTTTTCTCTAGAACACTGTGAGCTCTATTAGGCTCTTATTTGTCTGAAAATTTCCTCTCCTCTCCAGTGAGTCTATTTCCTTGCTGCTCAAAGTGTGGACAACAGTTCAGTTGCATTGGTACCACCTAGGAGCTTGTTAGCAATACACAAACACAGGTCTCACCCCACACCTACTGAATCAGACTCTGCATTTACCCAGATCATATATGCAGAGTGAAGGTTGAAAAGAATTGCTCTAGATGCCCATGAAAGGTGAATTCCAAAACCCAATCATCTCCTAAAATAATATAATGAAGGATCAAAGATGATGGTCAAGTGCTATTTAAAACACCATGGAAGGCCCAGCGCAGTGGCTCACGCCTGTAATCCCAACACTTTGGGAGGCCAAGGTGGGCGGATCATATGAGGCCAGGAGTTTGAGACCAGCCTGGCCCACATGGTGAAACTCCGTCTCTACTAAAAATACAAAAATTAGCCGGGTGTGGTGGCACGTGCTTGTAGTTCCAGCTACTTGGGAGGCTGAGGCACGAGAATCCCTTGAACCCAGGAGGCAGAGGTTGCAGTGAGCTGAGATCGCGCCACTGCACTCCAGCCTGGGTGATAGAGCGAGACTCTGTCTTAGAAAACAAAACAAAACAAAACAAAAACACCATGGGGCATTCCTGTACTCAGGCTATAAAAAGTTAATTCGGTGCCAGTTAGAGAGATAAGTAAAATAGTCCTAAGTCAAGAATATTATACTAAGTCTGTCTTGTAAATCAAGGCCAAATTATTGAAAGTGGCTACATGGAGCTCTATGTTGGGATGTGTTCAGGTTAGAATTAGGGGTAGAGTCAGAGGTTTCAGCAGGAAGAAGTTGTGATAGATTAGCATGTCTCGCCTGGTCCCAAGAGGGTGGGGTGGCTGCCAGTGTGCCCTTATTTGCCCTCCCTGTCCTAGGTGTTCTCTGCTTTCTTGGCACTCAGTTTCATTTCTATCTCTTAGCAGTTTCCCTACTCAGCCCTTGGCATTACCTGTAACTCCTGTGACTAAGAACTGGATGACTGTGGACCTGACCATTTGGGACAAGAACTAAACCCAACACTTGCTCACTGCCCTGTAGATAATGACCCCTTGTTTCTGCCTTCTTCCATTCCATAGTCACAGCAACAAGGAGGAAGACAGCACAAATATGGCCCTGAAATGAGCTCCCCCTGCTGTATTTGATCCACTTTCCCCATGCAAGGGCTGTAGGAACCATGGTTTTCTTAGCACAGGGTCTGGGATGTCTCACAAGTCCTGGAAACTCATCCAAGTCACAGGGGCATTACTGTAAACACAAATTTTCCTCAGAACACAGTGCTCAAGGTTTTAGGCACAGAGGCAGTCACTCTTAGCCTCAATTCATCCTGCTCAGCCCAGAGCTAAACTACAGCGAGCATAGTGATTGACTAGAGGGAAACCTCATGACCTAGGGTTTCATTAGCAAGGATGCTTGAGGTCAGGCCTAAAAGCAAGAAGAGCTCAGTGTGGGACCTAAGCGTAGAAATCTGCCCTCATCTCCTTCTTGGACAGAGTCAGCTGCTCCAGCTCTCAGATCTCTGGGTCAATAACTCTTTGCTTTGCTTTGACAACACACACTACTGCAGCTTCAAAAACAGAATCCAAGCACACAAGGACCTCTTCCCTGGGGCTATCCCAAGGTCCCTGACTTTCCTACGCTGCCTAAAAAATGGAAACCAATGAGTGCCTATTAAGTGCTTGCAATTTCATAAACTTTACCTCCCTCAAACTTTACAATTCAATAATGTAAATGTCATTATCGAAAGCTATAGACAGGTTAAGTAGCACATCTAAGCTCTCACAGCTAGTAAGTGGTAGAACTAAAATTCAAACCCAGTCCCACTGGGCTTCAAATGGCAATGTCTTTAACATTCACACTGTCTGTGATAAAACCCAGTGATCCCTCTGTTGCCAGATCCAATGGCCTTTTCTTAGTTCTTTTTTTTTTTTTTTTTTTTGAGACAGAGTCTCGCTCTGTTTCCTGGGCTGGAGTGCAGTGGTGCGATCTTGGCTCACTGCAACCTCCATCTCCTGGGTTCAAGTGATTCTCCTGTCTCAGCCTCCCGAGTAGCTGGGATTACAGGCGCACGCCACCATGCCCGGCTAATTTTTGTATTTTTAGTAGAGAAGGGGTATCACTATGTTGGCCAGGCTGGTCTCGAACTCTTGACCTCATGATCCATCCACCTCAGCCTCCCAAAGTGCTGGATTACAGGCATGAGCCACCATGCCCGGCTCACCTTTTCTTAGTTCTTATCACACTCGATGTTTTAGTGACATTCCACAAAGCCTACCTGTGTGCCCCTCTTCTCGAAACATTTTCTTCTCCTGGCTTTTATGAAATCTCACTTGTTGATGTTCCTCCTGCTTCACTGGCTGTTCCTTCTCAGTCTCTTTTTTGTTATTCTTTATTTTCTACTTAACCTCTCAACTTTAGAAGACCTAGGATGCAATCCTGAGCTCTTCTCTTCTGCATCTACAATCCACCTGGGTGAGCCCACCAATCTCCTGGTTTGAATACCATCCATGTATGGAGATTTTCAAACTTGCTATTCTTGCTTTGAGCTCTCTCTGCAAATCCGGGCTCATATAATCAACTCTTTGTTTGACATTTTTACTTGTAAAAAAATTAATAAGATTATTAATCCACTCCCCTCCCCCCAAGTTTGCTTCTACTCCAATTTTCTCCACCAAAGTAAACAGCACCTGGTTACCCTCAAGCCAAAAATCTAGAATTATCCTTGATTTCTCTGTTTTACTAGGCACCATGACCAATCCTTCAGCAAGTATTGTAACTTCTGCCTCCAAAAGATATCCCGACACCCACTTATCTACTTCTTCATTGCCAACACTCTAATTGAATCCCTGGTCATCACTGCCTGGATCACTGCAGTGTTCTTATAACTGCTGTTTCTGTTTCCAATATCTCTGCAATCCATTTGCCATATGGCAGCTAGAAGGATCTTTCTAAAAACATGAATCTGATTAAATCACTTTCTTACTTAAAGTCTTCCAATGACTTTCCACTCCACTTTGAATAAAATCCTAAACTTCTTACCCTCTTCCACGAAGCCTCCCATGATCCAACCTCATCTCATTCTGCTCTCACCCTTGGCCACCACCCTCCAGCCACACTTTAGCCTTTCTTCGTGCCTTATCCCTACCAAGTGAGTTTCTGCCTGAGAGTCCTCGAGCGTGCTGTTAATGCTTTAGAATATTCTTCTCCTGGTTTTCCTAGGTCAGTCTTTCTTGTCATCAATTAAGTGCTACCTTCTCAGAGAAGCCTTCCTTGGCCACGAATCTAAAATATCCATACGCCAGCAATTATCATAGCTCATATTTTAATTCTCTGCATAGCTGTTATTACTATCTGATCATTTCTTGTTTACATTTGGGGGAGTTATTGCCTAACTTCTTCATTAGCAATCAGGATTCACTGTCCTGTTTGCCATTGTATAGCTCATGCATAGAATGGTGTCTAGCACATAAGAAGCTCTCCACATACACCTAGTAAACAAATGGATGAATGAATGAAGGAGACAAAGCCACCAGTGTGCCTTTGGAGAGAAGAAAGCATGGCCAGATAGCCCCTTTAAAGGTATGGCACTGGTCTGAAAGTGCTTGTGAACCTCCTTCACACCTTCAAGGGCAAAGTCCACAGAATTTACTTCCTTTTCTTTCTTCTCTCCCTTTCTTGTTCATTATAGAATGATATAAAAGCATTAAAAAGCTACACATGACTGGGCACAATGGCTCACGCCTATAATCCCAGCACTTTGGGAGGCTGAGGCTGGAGGATCGCTTGAGCCCAGGAGTTCAAGACCAGCATGGCAGCATAGGGAGACTCTGTCTCCACAAAAAAATTAAATATTAGCCGGGCATGGTGGCACATGCCTGTAGTCCCAGTTATTCAAGAGGCTGAGGCAGGAGGATCACTTGAGCCCAGGAGTTTCAGGGAGCTGGTGTCACACCACTGTATTGCAGCCTGGGCAACAGAGTGAGACCTGGTCTCAAATAAATAAATAAAGCTACACGTAATCCCATCACTGTAAGAAATTCTTTTCACATAAGCATATTTTCTTCAAATCTTTTTCCATAAGCAGATATAGTTTTTACAAAATTGCAATCATAAAATACACAGTATTTAGTAGACTTCTTTTGAATTTGTTATTGTATCATAAACATTTTCCAAGCTATTCCAGATCTGCATATTTTCTATAACAATAATAGCTGGCGTATGTTGAGTATCTACAATGTGCCAGCTACTACTCAAACATTATTATGGATTGTCTCCTACTATCCCCACAATAACCTTATCAGATAGCTACTATTATTGGTATTTCCATTCTGCAGATGAGGCCACTGAAGCATTAATAATTTTTGTAAGGTAACACAGCCTGGACGTGGCATTCTCATTCCAGATCCCGGACTCTCCCTGCAATGTTTTACTGTGTCAGGTTGAAGTTACTTTATCATTCTCTGGCTTTGGATCTTCAGTTCTTTATCTGTAAAAAGGAGATAATAATAGTATTTACCTCATAAGGTTGTTGTTTTAAGGATGAAGTGAAAAAACATGTAAAGTATATAACAGATAATTCATAGACTGCAAGCAGCCATTAAATGAATTGAAAGACACTCCACTTTACTTGTAATCAGCAAAGTGAATATTGAAACAGCAATGAAAGATCAGTGACAAATGTTGGCAAAGATTTGGAGAAGAAGGCGTATTCACACACTGTTGTTGGGAGAAGAAATTGGTGATTTTTTTTTTTGGAGACGGAATTTCTTTGTAGCTCAGGCTGGAGTGCAGTGGCACGATCTCAGCTTACTGCAGCCTCCGCCTGACAGGTTCAAGTGATTCTCCTGCCTCAGCCTCCCAAGTAGCTGGGATTACTGGCGTGCACCACCATGCCCGGCTAATTTTTGTATTTTTAGTAGAGACAGGGTTTCACCATGTTGGCCAGGCTGGTCTTGAACTCCTGACCTCAGGTGATCCACCAGCCTTGGCCTCCCAAAGTGCTGGGATTACAGATGTGAGCCACCGCGCCCGGCCTGGTGATGATTTTTTGACTTGGAACTTGGCAGTTGCACAAATAAGCATAACCTAGGATCTGGAAATTCTTCTTGACCTCTCTCCTGACAAAACATATGCCCAGGGGCATAATGTGTATTAACAAAGATACTCAGAATAGGACTGTTGCTAATATTTGCTGTACATCATCAAAATATCAATAATGGAATGGTTAAATAAACTCTGATATACCTGCACCATATAACCCTGTACGACTAGTAAAAAAGAATTGTGTAGACCTACATAAGCTATAATGAAAATAGAAGTCATTAAGATAAAGAGTAAGATTTGGAACCTTATGTGCATTGTGATCCCATTACATTTTTTAAGAAGTTATATGTGAGATATAAATGCATACATTTGAATTTAAATGTTAAGGAAGAGGCCTGGGAGAATGCACACAATGGTTGAGGAGAGATGAAAGAATGAAGATGTGATATAAAGGGGCAATTTGTTTTTTCTATTTTATATAATTCTAATTGTTTCATTGAGAATATATTGACATGCCCATAATCCCAATTCGGGAAGTTGAGGTGGGAGGATTGCTTGAGCTCAGGAGTTTGAGACCAGCCTGGGCAATACAGTGAGACCCCATCTTAAAAAAAAAGAAAAATCAAGAGTTGCCAGGTGCAGTGGGTCACGCCTGTAATCCCAGCACTTTGGGAGGCCAAGGCAGGCGGATCACCTGAGGTCAGGAGTTCAAGACCAGCCTGGCCAACATGGTGAAACCTCATCTCTACTAAAAATGCAAAAATTAGCCGGGCATGGTGGTGCACACCTATAATTCCAGCTATTCGGGATGCTGACTCAGGAGAATTGCTTGAACCCATGAGGCGGAGGTTGCAGTGAGCCAGGATCGCACCACTGCACTCCAGCCTGGGCAACAGAGCAAGACTCCATCTCAAAACAACAACAACAGAAAAGAAATTCAAGAGAATGTATTGGAAATGGATACTCATGTGAGGATTCCTCTGTCTTTGACTACATCAAGGGATTAGCTCAACTGCATTATCTTTGTACTTCACTTGGAGAAGATTTTGAATTTGGATTTTTCTTTTTTTCTTTTAGAGACAGGGTCTCCCTCTGTCACCCAGGCTGGAGTGAAGTGGCACAGTCACAGCTCATTGCAGCCTTGAGTTCCTGGGTTCAAGGGATCCTTCTGCCTTGGCCTCTCAAGGAGCTAGGACTACAGGCACACACCACTATGCCCAGGTCATTTTTAATGTTTCTTTTTGTGTGTGTGGAGACAAGGGTTTCGCTGTGTTGCCTAGGCTGGTCTCAAACTCCTGGCCTCGAGTGATCCTCTCACCTCGGCCTCCCAAAGTGCTGGGATTATAGGTATAAGCCATTATGCCTGGCCTGAATTTGAATTTTGAATTGAAAAGTGGGTGGGGGAAATGGAGTATGAAACTCTACAGGGCCCCCTTCCCTCCTGCTTGTTCCAGGTCTTTCTCTGTCCACTCCTTTATTTTGAAGGGTAGCAGGGCATGCTAAGATCTTGCTGGATGGATTAGAGGTGGAACACTCTGGCACCTAGTAACTAACAATAAATGGCTGTTGAGTGAATGACAGAAAGCAGTGAGAGAAATGGGAGGAATTATTTCAAAAGAACCAAGAAGTACACGGATCTCCTCTGGCCATTGCAACCACACAAGGCCATCTCATGGGAATTAACATGAAGGCATTACCTTGGTTACCAGGCTGTAGCTGGGCCATTTCATTCTATGTCATGGTGAGTTGGCCGGTGGGGGAAGAGCATTATCCCCTGTGATCCTGAGGGGAGTATCAGGAAAGTCAGGTGGAGGACCTCTCATCTTTGAAGGGATGTTGGCTGCTTTGTGGGGCTTTCCGCCTGGTGGTGCACCAGTGGGGAGGGGACAGATCATGGGTTGGTCCCCATGGGAAAGCCAAGGGTAACCCCAAGCATGATGAGACTCACAGGCTGCTAAGGGGGCTGTTTCCGACATCAGTTTTACCAATTGGCTCTCTCAATACAATTTGTTTGTTTGTTTGTTTGAGACAGAGTCTCCCTCTGTCACCTAGGCTGGAGTATAGTGGTGTGATCCTGGCTCACTGCAACCTCCACCTTCCAGTTTCAAGCAATTCTCCTTCCTCAGCCTTCTGAGTAGCTGGATTTACAGGTGTGTGCCACCATGCCTGGCTAATTTTTGTACTTTTAGGAGAAACAGGGTTTCATCATGTTGGCCAGGCTGGTCTCGAACTCCTGACCTCGAGTGATCCGCCCACCTCGGCCTCCCAAAGTGCTGGGATTACAGGTGTGAGCCACTGCACCCGGCCTACAGTTTGTTTTGTTACTAACTTTAGTAACAGAACATCAATCCAAAGCAGGAGTGGTGACTTAAGCCAACTCATTTGGATTCTTGAAAGCCTCCCACAGGATCAGCTACATCATTTGCAGGTCTCAGTGCAAAATAGAATGGTGAAGCCCCTTGTTCAAACATAATTATTGGCCAGACACAGTGGCTCACGCCCTGCGGCTCTTCCCACACTTTGGGAGGCTGAGGTGGGAGGATCCCTTGGGCCCAGGATTTGAGACCAGCCTAGGCAACAGAATAAGACCACATCTCTACGAAAAAATTTTAAAAACTTAGCTGGGTGTGGTGGGGTGGGCTTGTAGTCCCAGCTACTCTGGAGGCTAAGGTGGGAGGATTGCTTGAGCCTAGGTGGTCAAGGCTACAGTGAGCAGTGAGTGCGCCACTGCACTCCAGCCTGGTTGATAGAATGAGACCTTGTCTTCAAAAAAAAAAAAAAAAAAAGAATTATTAAACATTTTAAAGACAGCAAATTAGAGGATTAAACCAAGTGTAGGGGACTCCTAAACACAGAAAATCTTTCACTGTGCTTAGAAGGTAATTCCTTCTGAATTACCTAAGGGCAACCCCTGTCAGCACTGCAAACATTAACTTTCTGCCAAAGGTAACAGTCTAGTCTCATAGGTTGACTGCCCAGGTCTCAGGCTTGTGAAGACAGCCCTGCCATACACATTAACACACATCCATTCCCCATCTTTCTCTGACTCTTCAATCTCTCATTGTCTGATTCCTCCCACATCCTCTCTTCAAGTCACCCCTCAATCTGGTGTCCCCACCTCCCCTCTTGGGAAATCCCATGGCCCTCATGTGATGAAAGGGTCCTAACTCTCCATTCTTGCATCTTTCAAACTCTGGTACCTCAAGCTTTACCAGTTGTTAGTGGAAATGCTCTTCTGCCCGTTGTCGGAATCAGTCCTGTGAATTGGTGTGAGGAGGGGTCAGGGAGGCCTGGGGTGCTCCAACTGCAGTTTGATCTCCCCAGCAGAGAAGCTTTCACTGATTCCTTCTGAATTACCTGAGGGCAACCCCCTTCAACTCTGCAAACATGAACTATTTCCAAAGGAAATAGTGTAGTTTCGTAGGTTGGATATATATTTCTTTGATTAAGAAAATATTGGCCGGGCGTGGTGGCTCATGCCTGTAATCCTAGCACTTTGGGAGGCCGAAGCCGGCGGATCATGAAGTCAGAAGATCGAGACCATCTTGGCTAACATGGTGAAACCCTGTCTCTACTAAAATACAAAAAATTAGCTGGGCGTGGTGGCGCACGCCTGTAGTCCCATATACCTGGGAAGTTGAGGCAGGGGAATCACTGAACCTGGGAGGCGAAGGTTGCAGTGAGCTGAGATCACACCACTGCACTCCAGCCTGGTGACAGAGCAAGATTCCATCTGAAAAAAAAAAAAAAAAAGAAAGAAAAAGAAAATATTGACTCTTTTCTTTTTTGAGACAGAGTCTGTCTCTTGTCACCCAGGCTGGAGTGCAGTGGCTCCATCTCGGCTCACTGTAACCTCTACCTCCCGGGCTCAAGCTATTCTCCTGCTCAGCCTCCTGAGTAGCTGGGATTACAGCCGCCTCAGCCTCTCAAGTAGCTGTAATTAAAGGTGCGTGCCACCATGCCCGGCTAATTTTTTGTATTTTTAGTAGAGAAGGGGTTTCGCCATGTTGTCTAGGCTGGTCTCGAAATCCTGACCTCAGGTGATCCACCTGCCTTGGCCTCCCAAAGTGCTGGGACTACAGTCAGTAAGCCACTGTGCCTGGCCAAGAAAATATTGACTCTTTTCCTTGCAATACAATAGCCCTGGCATTACTGTGCTCAAAAACCCTACTTTTTGGCCTACTTATAAAGGGCCACACGTAGCTCAGTTTTTTTTTTTTTTTTTTTTTGACTCAGCCATCTGGAACTATTCTAAACAGTTCCTCTTGGATTGCCTTATTTTTTCTTTGACAGAAGGGGAAATTTGAGTTTCTGTCCCAATACATTTCAACAGGTTGAAGAGCAAAGATAGCGAAACTGCCTCTTAGGGGTTACCTCTGGGTGGTTAGAAATGGATTCATAATCCTTGACAGGTTCTTTATGATTTTTTAAAAAATTTTTATTTTTATTTTGAATTTAATTTCATTTTTATTGATGAATTATTTTTACAGATAAATTACAGAGTATAATTATAAATAATAAATTATAGATTATAGTTTGCTAGAAATATAATTTATAAACGTAAATTATATGTTAAACATAAATTTATAGACAAAATATACATTATATTTATGTGGTACAAAGTGGTGTTATGACTTTGAATATAATGGTTAAATCAAGCTAATTAACATATTTATCACCTCAAATATTTAACATTTTTTGATAAGAACATTTGAAATGTACTCTCTTAGAGAAATTTAAACATAATACACAATTATTAACCATATTCATCATGCTATGTAATTGATCTCAGCAAAAGAATAAAGAAAGAAAAGTTCAGACTTATTCCTCCTCTCTGAGGCTTTATACACTTTGACCATCATCTCCCTATTTTCTTCCCACCCTCCAGCCTCTAGTTACCACCTTTCTACTCTCTGCTTCCTTGAGTTCAATTGTTTGAGATTCCACATATAATTGAGAAGATGTGGTATTTGTCTTTCTGTGTCTGGCTTATTTCACTTAACACAATGTTCTCCAATTCCATCTGTGTTTTCACAAATGACAGAATCTCTTCCTATTTATTTATTTATTTATTTGAGACAGAGTCTTGCTCTGTCACCCAGGCTGGAAGGCAGTGGTGTGATCTCAGCTAACTGCAACCTCCTCCTCCCGGGTTCAAGCGAGTCTCCTGCCTCAGCCTCCTGAGTAGCTGGGATTACAGGTGCCCACCACCATGCCTGGCTAATTTTTGTATTTTTAGTAGAGACGGGCTTTCACTATTTTGGTCAGGCTGGTCTCAAACTCCTGACCTCGTGATCTGCCTGCCTCAGCCTCTCAAAGTGCTGGGATTACAGGCGTGAGCCACTGCACCTGGCCATCCCTTCCTTTTTAAAGGCTGAATAGTATTCCACGGTGTATATATACCACGTTTTCTTTATCCATTCATCCCTTGATGGGCTCTTAGGTTGATTCCATAACTTGGCTACTGTGAATAGTGTTGCAATGAACATGGGAATGCACATATCTCTTTGACATTACTGACTTCAAGTCTTTTGGGTAAATACCCAGAAGAGGGATTGCTGGGTCATATGGTAACTGTATTTTTAGTTTTGAGGAACCTCCGTACTGCTTCCCATAGTGATTATTTATGGTTTGATTAATCCTGATCTGGGGATCCTATGTTACCACGCTTTTCCTTCTGCCACACCCAGTTGCTCCTTTTTCAAGGAGCAGGGAGTAATATTAGCAGGCGCTAAACTCATGTTGAAGAGTCAGTGGCCCCACAATGTTGTTCCACAATCCTCTTATCCAGCTTTAGCATCTTTCCTGCACCAGTTTTTCAAAGATGCCTTGCCTCCTAAAACACCCCAAGCATTTCCCAAAGTCTTTCATCCTATCTCACCTCCTACTGCACCATGCGAATGCCCACCTTCTGTCCACCTCAAAATATCTCTGTATTTTCACTTCTTTTCTCCCTCTCTACTGGTTCTCTGAGTCTCTTCCATCCCCTTTAGAACTCTGCTCCATTGATTTTCCTTTTTCTGTCCTTTACTCCAATCCATCATCCTATTTCTCTCCTCTCTGCAGGTAAGCACTCCAAATGTCTTCCATTTTGAAATAGCTCTCCCTTCTCCATGCCTTGCCCTTAACTTGTCATTGCATCTCTTCCCCACACTTTGCAGCCAAATGAATTGAACAGATATCCCTCACGCTTTGTCTCCACTTCCTCGCCTCCTACACATCCTCAGCCCACAGCAATCTGGCTTCCTCCTGACCTTCCCACTGAAACTGCTTTGACAGAGCCTCCTTTAGCCAAACCCAGTGAGTGCTTTTCAGCCCTTATCTTACTTGACCTCTCTTTGACACCGTCATGTCAATTACCCCATTCTTCATGAAACTCACTTCCCTAGGTTTCCACACGTTTCTCTCAAGGTTCCCCTCCTACATTCTTGGCAACTTACTCTTTATTCCTTTTTCTTTTCTTTTTGGTTCACGTTCTCTCATGAAACTTACGCTTTTTTGTGGTTATACTTAGATATGAACCTTTTCCTACACTTGCATCCTCTATCCTGATGAGCGCACCAACACCAATACTTAGAGGCAGAGCACATGAGACGTGACGTCCCAGTGCGTTTGCTTACTGGAGTTATACAGAATTCCACTGTAATTGATGACCAAGAGCTTGGCAAACCCAGACAGAGGTGTCCAAGAAGCTAAAGACTGTGTGTATGAGTGCCAGGGAAAATTTTGCAGGGTCTCTCTTCAAACTATCTCCCAAAGGACCCAGAATCCATCTTTCTGGAGATGTTAATAAAATAGACACATGGCCCCAACACCAGATGCCATCTGGCTCTATAATATTAAATAAATCAAAACAATTCCAACCTTACAACTCTGAGCACCAGAGATGGGGAATGATTGATTCACGGTCTCTCCCCCCATGCTCTATGTCTCCGCCCCCTTCCCTCCAAGAACGTTGCTCTAGCAGTTCTCTCTCCCACCTACGTGATCGGTTTTTTGCTACTAGATCATTCCAATAAGCAAAGAAATAGGCTGTTATTCTTCCTATCTTTGAAAAAAAGAAAAACCCTCCTATCCCTCTTCCTCCTTGCTCCCTTTTATAGGCAAAGTTCCTTGAAAGACTTATCTATATGTGCCATCTCCAATTTCTCTCTCCACATTTTTTCTTAAACCAACTCTAATGAGACTTTCTCTCCAATTCCCCCACCAAAACCATCTTTATCACTAGCGACCTCCACATTGCAAAACTCAGTGGTCAATTCTCAGTCTTCCTGTTACTTAACTTATCAGCAGCGTCTGACATCATTATTTATTCCCTCCTCTTGATATATTTCTTTACTCGGCTTTCTGGTCATCTTACTTTCTTGTTTTCCACCTTCTCACTGATAGCTCCTTCTTAGTCTCTCTCTCTTTTTTTTCTTTTTTTTTAATTTTGAGACAGGGTCTTGCTCTGTTGCCCAGGCTGGACTGCAGTAGCATGGTCACAGCTCACTGCAGCCTCAACCTCCAAGGCTCAAGTGATCCTCCCACCTCAGCCTCCCAAGTAGCAGTGACTACAGGCATGCCGCCACGCTTGACTAATTTTTTTATTGTTTTGTAGAGATGGGGTTTTGCCATGTTGCCCAGGCTGGTCTAGAACTCCTGGGCTCAAGCCATCTGCCTGCCTCGGTGCTCATCCCAAAGTGCTAGGACTACAGAAGTGAGAAGTGAGCCACTACACCTGGCCACCTACTTAGTCTCTTTTGGCCTCTCTTTCTCTCTGTTGGAATGTTTTTAGAGGCTGGTACTTTTCTTCTCCTTTTCTCTACCTACACTTGTTCCTTGGTGATCTTACTTTCAATATCATCTCTAAGCTGATGATTCTCAGACATTTATCTTAAGCCCAGATACCCCCACCAGCCTTTTGACATCTGCCCTTGGATATTCAATAGACATCTCAAATTCAGCATCTCCAGAATGAACTGCTCTGCTCCCAATCTGCTCTAGCCACAGATTTTCCCTTTTCAGTTGATGGGGATCTTATCCTTCCATTTGCTCAAGCAAAATGCCTTAGATCAACCTTGATGTCTCTCTCCCTTCCTGTCAAACTCCATCTTCAATTCCACAGGAAGTGCTGCTGTCTCCACCTCCAGAATAAATCCAGAATCCAACCACTCCTTCCCTCTACTGCCGTTTCTGTGGTCCAGGCCTCCATCATTGCTCACTTGAATTGTTAAATTGCCTCTTACCCAGTCCCCCTGATTCTACCTTTGCCCTCCCCTGCCCAGGGTATTTTCAAAACAGACTCGGATGAATGCTTTTGAAGCATGTGTCAGAGAAGGTCACTCTTGTCCTTAGAGTGCAGAGATGGCTCCATATTTCACTCAGAGTATGACTGTGGCCTCTGTGATCTGTCCTTATCCAGATCTCCTTATCTCTCTGCCCTCATCTCCTACTGTTGCCCTCTCACTCATTCTTCTCCAGCCGCCTTGGCCTTCTTTCTATTTCTGATTCACCAGACATGCATGTGTCTTAGAGCCTTTGAATCTCACATTTATTTGCAAAGCTGGCCTCCTCACCTCCTGTCACCTTCTTAATGAGTCTCACCCTGTACACCTCATTTAAAATTACAGGCTGCCCCTCATGACTTTCTACCCTTTTGTCATGTTCAAGTTTATTATCTCACTTATTACGTTCTAACATATAATACTACTTGTTTTAAAACTGTATTTATTTATTCTTTATTGTTTATTGATATCATTGGATTTAAATCTACCATCTTGCAATTTATGTCCCATCTGTTTTTTCTTTCCTCTTTTTTTTTTCTGCTTTTCTTTTGATTAACTGTGTGTTTTGTTTTTGTTTTTGTTTTGAGACCAGGTCTCGCTCTGTCGCCCAGGCTGGAGTGCAGTGGCACAATCTCGGCTCACTGCAACCTCCACCTCCCGGGTTCAAGCGATTCTCCTGCCTCAGCCTCCTGAGTAGCTGGGACTAAAGGTGCGCCACCACTCCTGGCTAAATTTTGTTGTTGTTGTTTTGGTAGAGATGGGGTTTCACCATGTGGCCCACGCTGGTCTCGAACTCCTGACCTCAAGTGATCCACCCGCCTTGGCCTTCCAAAGTGCTGGGATTACTGACGTGAGCCACTGCGCCCAGCCAATTGCATATTTTTTTATGATTTCATGTTGTCTCTTTTGTTAGTTAATTAGCTCTTACTCTTTGTTGTCTTACTGTAATGGTTGCTTTAGAGTTTACAGTATGCATCTTTAACACATCACAGTCTACCCTCAGTAATATTATGCTACCTTACAACAGTAAAATAACCTTACACCAACATACATCTGTTTCTTTCCTCCCAGCCTTGTGTAATTGTTGTTATACGTTTTACTTCTACATATGTTATAAAACCTATAATCATTGTTAGTATTTTTGCTTTTAAAAGTCAATTATCTCTTAAAGAGACTTAAGTAATGATTTTTAAAAATCTTTTATATTTGCCCACATATATAACATTTCTAGTGTCAGTTTTTCCTTTGTGTGGATCTAAATTTCCATCTGCTATTATTTTCCTTCTCCCTGTCTAGGGAGTAATCATGGGGCTTGCCTCACTTGTGTCCCACCTTTCAGGTCCTTCATGGCCTGATGTCCAATGTCTTTAAAACAGTTGTTTTATAAAATTTATCCAAATTTTTTCATTGTTTCAAGCAAAAGAGTAAAACCAGTCTCTGTTATTTCATCTTGGTCTGGAGCAGAGGTCTGGCATATTATTGACTGTCTTTTCTCTCCAGAATGTAAGAGAGGGATTTTTGTCTATTTTGTTACCAGATATCTACCAAATGCCTGGCGTATAGTAGGCTCTCAATAAATACTTGTCGCATGTTTAGTGACTATACTAAAGCACTTTGTAAATTAAATGTACCATATGGATTACTATATCTTAGACATATATATCTTAGACATATATCCAGCTAATTAGAACATAGGAGTGTATCTTTGTCAGAGCTTCAGTTCAGGGGCAAACATGAAACACATCGCTTACCATTTCAATCTTGTATGGGGACCCCTTGTAAGGGTACATCTCTGAAAATGCTGTCCTTGTTGGGCATCAAGATTCTCTCTGTGAAGCTGATGCCTGGAGAGCCTCTGTGGGAAAACAAACAAACAAAAACAACAACAACCAGAAAAAAACAAACCTTTTGTTCCAACTCAGAGAACAGCTGCTTTTAATGTCTTTTTCTTTCTTTTTTTTTTTTTTTGAGACAGAGTCTTGCTCTGTCACCCAGATTGGAATGCGGTGGTGCTATCTCTGGTCACTGCAACCTCCATCTCCCGGGTTCAAGAGATTCTCCTGCCTTAGCCTCCCAAGTAGCTAGGATTACAGGCACATGCCAACACACCTGGCTAATGTTTGTATTTTTAGTAGGGATAGGGTTTCACCATGTTGGCCAGACTTGTCTCGAACTCCTGAACTCAGGTGATCCTCCCCGCTCAGCCTCCCAAAATGCTGGGATTACAGGCATGAGCCACCGCACCTGCCTGTCTTATTTGTTTTTAAGCAGTGAAACCCTTTCAATGAACAAAGTCTTACACAGAATCCAGTCTATCTGTAACCCCAATACCATGCGCTTAGTGAAGAGAAAGAGGAGTGGTTCAGTGCATCACCAAACCCTCAATGTTAGAAGCTACAATCACAATGCTGAATCCAGAAGACTGAATCGAACATATTTTTACTTTAGGTATGGATTCATCCTTGGTTCCAAAAGCCTCTTACGTGACCATGGCTCTCACATTTGGAACCCTCTTTTTCTTCTCTTGACATTTTTTTTTTCTTTTTTTTTTTTTGAGATGGAGTCTCGCTCTGTCGCCCAGGCTGGAGTGCAGTGGCGCGATCTCGGCTCACTGCAAGCTCCGCCTCCCGGGTTCACGCCATTCTCCTGCCTCAGCCTCCCGAGTAGCTGGGACTACAGGTGCCCGCCACCATGGCCGCCTAATTTTTGTAGTTTTACTAGAGACGGGGTTTCATTGTGTTGTCCAGGCTGGTCTCGACCTCCTGACCTCGTGATCCACCCACCTCAGTCTCCCAAAGTGCTGGGATTACAGGCGTGAGCCACTGCGCCCGGCTTCTCTTGACATTTTTAAACTTCGTCCACCTCTCTTCTTTGGTCCCACCTTTAGAATGTTCACCATTTTCTTTTCTTTTTGAGACAAAGTCTCACTCTGTCACCCAGGCTGAAGTGCAGTGGCACGATCATAGCTCACTGCAGCCTTGATCTCCTAGGCTTAAGTGACCCTCCTGCCTCAGCCTCCCAAGTAGCTGGGACTACAGCTGTGTGCCACTATGCCAGGCTAATTTTTTATTTTTTGAAGAGATAGGGTCTCACTATATTGCTCAGGCTGGTCTCAAACTCCTGGGCTCAAGCTATCCTCCCACCTTGGCCTCCCAAAGTGTTGGGATTACAGGTGTGAGCCACCATGCCCAGCCTCATCATTTTCATATTCTCTCTAATTATAAACTTGGTGACAGTGTAGGTGTGTTGAGTAGGGACCTGTACAACAATTCAAACCTTCAAATTTTTTAGATCGCTTCCTCTCAGGTGAATTGTTATTACTAAAAATAGATTTCTCCCTTCTTTTCTGATAACCAGTGCCATGTCCTGTAGAGCAGTAATGGGAGAAAAAAAATGTCATTCCGTCTCCTAAAAATTAGATAAAAGCCACAGTTCTCATCATAAGCCTTTATGTGTCTGAATGTATTGATTTTCTTATTATAATAAGAGTATAAACATACAATTGTTTGAACAAATAACAAAAAAATGGAAATTGGGAAGCCTGTGGATGCTTGCTAATGGCCTAAAATCAGTCTCTGCATCACTTTATCCTAAATTTTCATTTTTGTTTGGTTGCACAGTACTGAGGAAATCTACATTTGTTTAAAGAAGTAGTTGTAATGACTGGTTTTTACATGAGCTTGGCTTGCTGAGTTAGACACTTCTCAGTTAAGGGGAGACAACAGGAAAAGCTTTACCTTGGGCTTTCCCTGGCAGCATGAGGCCATGTTCCACTGGTCTGCAATGAGTTAAGATTTGGTAAGGAAAATACAATTTTTTTTGTTTGTTTTATTGAGATGGAGTCTTACTCTGTCACCTAGGATGAAGTGCAGTGGCGCTATCTCGGCTCACTGCAGCCTCCACCTCCTGGGTTCCAGCAATTCTGCCTCAGCCTCCCAAGTAGCTGGGATTACAGGCACGCGCCACCACACCTGGCTAATTTTGTATTTTTAGTAGAGATGGGGTTTCACCATATTGGCTAGGCTAGTCTCAAACTCCTGACCTCAGGTGATTCACCTGCCTTGGTCTCCCAAAGTGCTAGGATTACAGGCATAAGCCGCTGTGCCTGGCCACAGTTTTTTAAAGTGTTAATTTTTTAAAAAAAGCAATATTAAATGTTTAATTTTTAATCATTGAAGTCAATAATATTGAATCACTGAACTCCTTCTAGAAACTTAAGGATAGCTCAGTCCTATGCCTAACTTATCAAAGCCAGAGATGGAAGTCCAAATGAGGGTCTACATACTATATGTGTAGATGTTTTAATTATTATGAATCAAGCTAACAAACTGCTAAATAAAGTATTCCTATTCTCCTACTTTGAAGATTTGATTTTTGACAAAATCAGAAATATGTAAAAGCTATGTTTTTCATGGAAAGTCAGCAAAGTATTAAAGACAACTGCATTTAATTACTCTTACATGTCTGGCTGTTCTGTTGATGAGCCAGCAATATTTACAGGAGTCATAACATAAAAACATATACGACCCCTACATTATTCATTATTTAGTCTATAATTTGAAATCTTTATTTCAGAAAAATAACTCTGAGATATTCTATTCTGCAGGTGCTGCAGTCAAATCCCAGAGACAGTGCAGGATCCAGAAACAAAGTGCCAGAAGCCGGGATGCTGACATAGAGATGGAAGAAGAGGGAACTACTTGGCATGATCCCTGAAAGCAGAGTGGGGCCTTAGACTCATATAATCTGGTGACAGTGAGTATCAGGGGGTTTCCCCGCACCAACCAATTCCCCAACTCTCCAGACACCAACTGGGTGCCTCACAATTCATTTGCGACACTGATCACCTAATGTAAGCACAGACTCCACAGGTTAAGGGCTCAGCCCCACAAGATCACCCACGCTTCAGCCACCAACCACCAAGAGTGGATCTCCAGGTTACTCACAGTTCCATCCAACTTGGCAACAAATCTGGGGTTCTCACAACCCCCTCCTCAGGTTCAACAATATGATAGCTCACAGAACTCAGGGAAAGACTTACTCACATTTACCAGTTTATGACAAAGGACTTGATAGAATAAACACATGAACAGCCAGATGAAGATCTTGCATGTAGGGCAAGCTCCAGAGGGCGTGAGCACGGGAGCTTCTGTCCCCATGGACTTCGGTCGTGCCACCTTTCCAACACATGACACGTTCACTGACCCAGAAGTTCTCCCATTTTGCCTTTTAGGGATTTTTATGGCTGCTTCATCACGTGGGCTTGACGGATTACTAACTCAGTCTCCATCTCCTCTCGTCTCTCTGGAGCATGGGGAGTGGGGCTGAAAGACCTAAGCTTCTAATCATGGTTTGGTCTTCCTGGCAATCAGCCCCCACCCTGACATTGTTCAGGGGCTTACAGAGAGCCACCTCAGATTAGGACAAAAGACGTTCTTATCACCTAGGAAATTCCAAGGGACTTAGGAACTCTGTGTCAGGAACTGGGGTCAAAGACAAAATATTAGAACAAAAAAAATGCTCCTAGCACCGCTATCGCTCAGGAAATGAGAAGAATGTTAGAAGCTCTGTGCCAGAAACCAGGGAAAAATAAATATAAATATATCTATATATTTCTGTTGTCACAGTGGGTCAGCCTACTGTGACCTCATATGCATCCACAGACTTATGATGTCCCACCTGCAAACTTGACTCTCAGAGCATGTCAGCCTCAAGTCAGCTAGCTCAGCCTCCCTCCTCAGCCACTCTGCAGGAGTTCAGGGAGCAGGAACTCTGGTATCAGAGAGACTCAGGCCAAGACTCTGCCACTCACCCAGGCATGTCACCTCTCAGAGACTTCATTTCCTCCCTTCTAATAGGGGAAGAATGGTGCCTACTCATAGGGCTACTGTGAGGATACATCAGGCAGCGTAAGTAAAGTACTCCCTTCTCTACAATGGTAGCACAACCAGCTGACTAAAAATCAGTTCGTTCATTCATTCAACTGGAATGTGAGTAAACAACAAAGACCTTGGGAAATGTCGACTGTCACGGTCCTTGATTTTCCTCACTCTCTATGGTGCTACAGTGGCAAAACAGTGGGTACCCCCACTGCCCATCATCCTGGAGCAGAAATGAGGGGGCCCTTGGAAACGGACCACACAGAGGCTTCCTCTGGGGACCTGGCTGGTGCAGTGTGGCGAGACCAGGAGGTCAGTTCTCATGGTGGAGGTTGTCAAGCACTGATGATGAGTGGTACGGGGGGGTTTTGGCTAATCAATCACATGGTTTTGCTCCCTGAGATCTGAGCCACTTGACAAATAGACACAAGGTCAAAAAACACCAGGTTTTCAAGGTGAGCTGGACTGAAGAATGCAATGTGGACCTGCCTGTTTCCCCCCACCCAACAAAGTACACCCTAACCCTGATCATGACACTAATTGCAACCCTAACCCTAATCCTAGCCCACCCTGGCACCCCATGCAGGGGCTGGCTGGGAGCCCCAAGAAGGAGCACACAGATCCTGATGCAGTCTGGAAGAATAAAGCGAGCCCACCGGAATGAACACCTGCATTCTTGCCTGAGTGACAACCTACCATGAGGACAAGTAAAGAGGAGGAGAGAGAGGCCGGGCACAGTGGCTCACTCCTGCCATCCCAGCACCTTGGGAGGCTGAGGCAGGTGGATCACCTGAGGTCAGGAGTTCAAGACCAGCCTGGCCAACATAGTGAAACCCTGTCTCTACTAAAAATACAAAAAAAAAAAAAATTAGCCAGGTGTGGTGGCATGTGCCAATAATCCCAGCTACTGGGAGGCTGACGCAGGAGAATCACTTGAACCCGGAAGGCAGAGGTTGCAGTGAACTGAGATCATGCCACTGCACTCCAGCCTGGATGACAGAGTGAGACTCCCTCTCAAAAAAAAAAAATTAATTAAAATTTGAAAAAATAGGAGAGAGAAAGGACATTCTTTCCAGGGAGTAGAGTGGAGTCCCCTTCCCTCTGTGTCAGGAGAGAGACCACTGACATTTTCCCTGACAATGCTCCCAACCTCTTCTCCCCACATAACTGTGGCGTTGCCCCATTCAGTGGGATCACCAGCCTCTGAGGGTGTAAGCCTGAGGGTGATTAGAGGTTCGCCATTGAGCAACAAAGAGACCAGGGCTGACACTGGGCACTGAGCCTGGGTGCTCCTTCACCCAGGTGGTAGGAGTGGGCTGGCTCTAGGATCACTGTGCTCTGGACCCCAGTCCTTCTGAGACCATGGGGTTGCCTGGTGGAAAGTAGCTCTGTGTGTGTGTATGCTCGCAAGCCGAAAGAGCCCTGTCCCTAAAGCACTGTACCCTGCTGTAGGGAAACCACTAGCAGCTGGTTTCTGCAGTGGGTCCCCTTTCCCACTCCCCCAGGGTGGCACTGCTGAGAGTAGAGCATCCTGTGCCGAGGAACGACCCGGGGATGAGCATTAGTGGTGGCAATCGGCTATAGCACCGGGCTCGAGTTTTACTGAGAGCTTCAAGTTGGCCCTGGGATTAAGCAAGGGAGAGCGACGGCAGGCAGGCCGGAGATGGTGGTGGCATGGCAGCCACCACTGGCAGCCAGCCTTCCCTGGAGTCAACAACCAGCTGAGGTGGCCAAGGTGGCCCTGCTCCCCAGCAGGTGGCTGCAGAACACCCCAGGGCCACGGCTGAGGTCAAAACTGCACCTCTGGGATTATTGGATTTAGCAGAGTAAGAAGAACCAGGGAGGGGCAAACGATGTCCCCTCTTTGTCAGCAGTCTTAGAAGTATCCCATTCAAATTTTATTTTATTTTTTTTGAGACGGAGTCTTGCTCTGTTGCCCAGGCTGGAAGGAGTGCAATGGTATGATCTCTGCTCACTTCAACCTCTGCCTCTCAGATTCAAGTGATTCTCCTGCCTCAGCCTCTGGAGTAGCTGGGATTACAGGTATCCCACCACACCTGGTTAATTTTTATATTTTTAGTATAGATAGGGTTTCACCATGTTGCCCAGGCTGGTCTCAAACTCCTGACCTCAGGTGATCCACCCGCCTCGGCCTCCCAAAGTGCTAGGATTACAGGTGTGAGCCACTGCGCCCAGCCCCATTTGAATTTTAAAAGACATCCTACCTCATTTGTAACTCCAGCTGATGACTGATAGAGTGACACCTATCAGTCATTTAGTTTGTTTTAATTATCATTCACCTTAGAAGTAGATTTTTCTGATTACATAAATAATACATGTTGACTTCTCATAATCAGAACTATTTATATAAATATCTGGACCAAAAAAAAATAAGTCACCTAGAATCTCACCACCCTGAGAGAACTAACTACTATGAATATTGCCTATCAGATTTCTTTTTCTTTTTCTTTTTTTTTTTTTTTTTTTTTTTTTGACAGAGTCTTGCTCTGTCGCCAGGCTGGAGTGCAGTGGCGTGATCTTGGCTCACCACAACCTCCACCTCCTGGGTTCCAGTGATTCTCCTGCCTCAGCCTCCTGAGTAACTGGGATTACAGGTGTGCACCACCATGCCCAGCTAATTTTTGTACTTTTTTTTTTTTTTTTCTGAGATGGAGTCTTGCTCTGTGGCCCAGGCTGGAGTGCAGTGGCGCCATCTTGGCTCACTGCAAGCTCCACCTGCCGGGTTCATGCCATTCTCCTGCCTCAGCCTCCGGAGTAGCTGGGACTACAGGCACCTGCCACCGCGCCCGGCTAATTTTTTGTATTTTTAGTAGAGATGGGGTTTCACCATGTTAGCCAGGATGGTCTCGAGCTCCTGACCTCGTGATCCACCCGCCTCAGCCTCCCAAAGTGCTGTGATTACAGGCGTGAGCCATCATGCCCGGCCTAATTTTTGTATTTTTAGTAGAGAGGGAGTTGGTCAGGATGGTCTTCTATCAGATTTCTTTGCACCTCTTCATACAGCCACGCACACCCATACATAGCATATGTAAATGATCATAAGTGAGAAGGTGCCCAACTTTTTAAATCATCAACACTATCCACTGCTATCCCCCGACCCCAGCTCCCTATCTCATCTAGACCCCACAGACAATCTTTGTTCACATTCTGAACATTTCCTTCCTTTTCTCCATACACATACGAACACACAGTGTTTGTTTTCTGTAGCTGGATGCTATACTGGTCTTTGTTTTATAAAATGAGATCACCCATTTCCTTGCATCTTGCCTTTTTCCATCAGCAACAACTCCCAGATATTCCTCCGGGTCACCTGGAAGGGCTCCATCTCTTCTTAAATGACTGCTTAATATTCCATGGTAGGTTACGCTAGGTTGAAAGCTCCCCACCCCACTACCTCCAAGGCCTCTGGTCCTTGCAGAAGCGGAAGGCCACTGAATACGCACTGAATATGACAGCATGGTAGGGTGCTAGACCAGGAACTTTGGAGGCAATGACCAATTTCTTACTTACTGACTACTACTTACTTACTTACTGAGAGTAAACTGGTAAGATTATGTGGAAATAACCTTTTAAATAATGGGCCAGGCACAGCAGCTCACCCTGTAATCCCAGCACTTTGGGAGGCCAAGGCAGGCAGATCACCTGAGGTCAGGAGTTCGAGACGAGCCTGGCCAACATGTACTAAAAATACAAAAAGTTACCCTGGCGTGGTGGTGCATGCCTGTAATCCCAGCTACTCGGGAGGTTGAAAGAGGAGAATCACTTGAGCCTGGGAGGCGGAGGTTGCACTAAGCCGAGATCGCACCACTGCACTCCAGCCTGGGCAACAGAGCAAAACTCCGTCTCAAAAAAATAAATAAATAAATAAAATAATGATGACATTGGTGATTTTGACCATGATAATGATGATAATGACGATTGCTTGCATTATTAGTTCTGACCTTATTATTGCCTTTATTGATTTTTTTCTAAGTTTTTTTCAATGAATAGTTTATTCTTGTGGTTCAAAATAGCAAAACATGTAAAAAGATACACACCATAAAGTCTCCCTCCCATTCCTATCTCCCAGCCACCCCGTTCCCCTCCCTATAAAAGAATACTATTACTGGTTTCTTGTGTAGGAACTTTGTGAATTATAGGCAATTTTTGTTTTCTTTATTTCAGTGACTCTTCCTACCACAGTAAAGTAGGTAGAACATATAGCACCCCTGTATTACAAATAAGGAAGCCGAGACTCAGAAAGATGAAGAGATTAGCACAGCCTGGACTGGACCCCGCAGTCTGCCAGATCGCAGGCCTGCTCTGCCGGGCTTTCTGCTCACCGAATGAGCTCGCCGTGTGGCTCAATGAAAGGCAGCCAATCATAAATGCCTCACTAGAGCAAGCGCTCACCTCTCCCACTGATTTATTAGTTCAGCAAGCCTGGATTTTTCTCCCTAGGCTCATTTTATTTTTTAAATCTTACCGTAGAACACACCTGATTCCCTCAGCAGCAGGAAGTGACCAAGCCAAGGGCCATCCCACTTTTCAGTCCCCTCCCTGCCTGCATTCTTGCAGCATCTGGGAGCACTCCTGGAGCCTGTGCAGCTGGGCTTCTTTGTGTGGCTTCCCTCTGTCTGCCCAGTGTCTTGCCCCCAGGGCCTATAAGACAGAGGCCATCTGTTTCTGCATCTCTTTCTTTCTCTCTCTGTATTTTTTTTTTTTTTTTTTTTGAGACACTATCTCACTCTGTCACTCAGGCTGGAGAGCGGTGGTGCAATTATGGCTCACTGCAGACCTACTGGGCTCAAGCAATTCTCCCACCTCAGCCTCTCAAGTAGCTAAGGACAACGGGGGCTGCCTCCATGCCTGGCTATTTTATTTTATTTTTATTTATTTTTTTGAGACAGAGTCTCACTTCGTCACCCAGGCTGGAGTGCAGTGGCATGATCTCAGCTCACTGTAACTTTTGCCTCTTGGGTTCAAGCGATTCTCATGCCTCAGCCTCCTGCGTAGCTGGGATTACAGGCACCCACCACCATGCCTGGCTAATTTTTATATTTGTAGTAGAGACAGGGTTTTAGCATGTTGGCCAGGCTGGTCTCAAACTCCTGACCTCAAGTGATCCGCCTGCCTCAGCCTCCCAAAATGCTGGGATTACAGGTGTGAGCCACTGTGCTCGGCCTATCATTTTTATTTTGTAGAGACGGGGTCTCGCTATGTTAGCCCAGGCTGGTCTCAATCTCCTGGGGTCAAGTGATCCTTCTGCCTTGGCCTCCCAAAGTGTTGGGGTTACAGTCGTGAGCCATTGTGCTCATCCTGGCCTGCATCTCTTTTGCCACCTCTGCCAGGAAGCATTTCCTGATGTCCCTCATTAAGAATCTTCCAGTGCTCAATTGAGAAAGATCACCTGGGCTTTCATGCCTTCATCATCCGATGAAGATTATACAGAGGTTAAAGTCATGGGCTTGAAGATCAGTAGGCTGGCTTCAAGGCCTGGCTTTGGTACTTGCCAGCTTTATAATTTTGGGCATGTTCTGAATCTCTAAAGTATGGCTGGCTACAGAGTGGAGCTGATGATGAGATTTGACTCATAAAGTCCCTGTGAGATCACAACATCCAGTGAGAAAAATGAGACCATGAGCACAGCGCACTCAACAAGGGCTAGGTTGAAAGTGAGCAGTAAAAGCTACCTATTATGAATTTTTAAGGTATTTTACTGTGTACTGGCTGGGCGTGGTGGCTCACGCCTGTAATCCCAGCACTTTGGGAGGCTGAGGTGGGTGGATCATGAGTTCAGGAGTTCGAGACCAGCCTGGACAACACAATGAAACCCTGTCTCTACTAAAAATACAAAAATTAGCTGGGCGTGGTGGCGGACACCTGTATTCCAGTTACTCAGGAGACTGAGGCAGGAGAATCACTTGAACCCGGGAGGCAGAGGTTGCAGTGAGCTCAGATTGTGCCACTGCACTCCAGCCTGGGCCACAGAGCTAGACTACATGTCAAAAAAAAAAAATTATTTTACCGTGTATTTTAAAAACTTATTAGATCCAGTTCTCTTCCCTTGCCTCTGGCAGTAGGAGGCCTACAATTTCAGATCTTTGAGTTTGGGGCACTGCTTTGCACAGAATGGTTGACATATTAGCTGAGCTTGAAGGATGACAAGTGAGACAAATAAGGTGGAGGCAGCCAAGAACAGCAGGAGTAAAGAACTGCAGGTGTGAGAGTACCTGGGGTTTTCCAAAGGATGACTGGTCCCTTGTGGTTAGACCTACCAGGTGGCCTGAGGGGGCGTGGGGAGAGATAAGCCTAGAGAGGTAAAGAGGTAGGACTAGACCCTTACCGAGGGTTAAACTGATAACAAGGTTGGCTTGTGGCTTGGAGCAGGGGATGGGGAGGGAAGGAGAGGGCTCCCTGATGGAGATCAAACTAGGCCGAGGGTATTTTAGGTCGAACAGAAAGAATACAGGATCTCCTCAGTGCCACCAGCTACCTCACAACTGATTAGCAGCAAGAATAGCATTTTCGTTGTTGGATGAACTCATCTGTTTCTCTTCCCAATTGCAAGTTTTTCTTATGGTTAATTCTGGCTCCCCTAGATTGACAGTCTACCCTTCCCACTGCTGGGATAATTTTAGATAAAGATGATCTCGTATGGATTTGAAAGTAGAAATGTGTGGCCAGTCACAGGGGCTCACGCCTGCAGTCTCAGCACTTTGGGAGGCCAAGGCGGGCGGATCACTTGAGGCCAGGTATTTCAGACCAGCCTGGCCAACATGGTGAAACCCCATCTCTACTAAAAATACAAAAATTAGCCAGGCGTGGTAGTGCGTGCCTGTAGTCCCAGCTACTCGGGAGGCTGAGGCATGAGAATCACTTGAACCTGGGAGGTGGAGGTTGCAGTGAACCAAGATCTCACCACTGCACTCCAGCCTGGGTGACGAAGTGAGACTCTATCACAAAAAAAGAATAAAAGAAAGTAGAAATGCTTAGGAAGACTCAATTGTAAAACCAGAAAAGTTTTGATTATTGGGATAAAGATCGGACTAAAATAAGAAAAAAAACAAGAAAACAAACAAAAAGCTTCCTTTTAGCTTGTCTGCAGCATAGCAAAACAAATTCATAAGTTTCTTACGGACACCGTGGGGAAGAAAACATTTCTAAAGTTTACATTGAACAAGACATGGTACATAGAAAATAACATGGTACCCATAATTTCTAATTTTACATATATAACAGTCACCAGCACTTGCTTCGCTCAATATGCCATCTTTATTATCTTATTTTCATGGAAATAAAAATATTTCTAAGCACAACCTAGTTTCTCCAAGCCTTGCCAACCTGTAGTCAGTCTTGGGGTTACATTGAACAGTATTAACTCAATTTCTCAGTCTATGCCTGTGAGAGGCAGAATCATGGCCTCCCAAAGATGTTCATGTCTTAGTACCTGGAACCTGTGAATCTGTTAGAATCCATGGCAATTGGAAATTAAGGTGGCAGATGGAATTAAGGTTGCTAATCAGCGGACCTTAAAATGAGATTGTTCTGGATTATCTAGGTAGGCCCATTGTAATCCATCACAAGGGTCCTTGTAAGAGAGAGACAGGAGTGTCAGAGTTGAAGAAGGAGATGTGATGAAGGAAACAGAGACCTGAGTGCTGCAGCCACAAGCCAAGGAACATGGGTGATCTCTAGAAGCTGGAGAAGGCAAGGAAACAAATTCTCCCCTAATGTCTCCAGAAGGAAACACAGCCCTGCTGGCACCTTGATTTTAGCCCAGGGAGAACCATGTGAGACTTCTGACCTCCGGAACTGTAAGATAACATATTTGCATTGGTTTAGGTCACAGAGCTGGTGGTCATTTATTGCAGCAGAAATGAGAAAGGAATGTAATGCCTTACTTGCTGCCCTGGGAGCTGGGCCTTTTCCACCCACCTCCAAGTCTCACTGTTGATTCTGCACAGACGGCCCCGGGGCTGACTCATGAGGACTCACAGATCCCTCTCCCACGTTCTCCCACCTAAGTTCCTTAGGTGGTGTCTGATGCCCATGTGGCCATTGGCCATGCTTTGCCACTGCTGTCGGTATCCCCTGAGAGCACCCACGTCCAACCCACGGGACCATCTTGCAGGACACACAGAGCATCTGATGCTTGAGTTTCCAAAGCAGCACTCTGTCCCTGCCATCTTCATCTCTTTGAACTCACCATTGTCCATGCAGGGGTAGGGAAGGCTCCCCACTTTGTATCATTCTCAGGCATCTGGGCCTCAAAGGAGTGCTGCTGCTTGTGTTCCTGTACAGCATCTTCAGCTCCTGCCTGCGGGGTGCAGTCCCTAGGGAAGGACTGGGATCTGTGCTGTGGCCTCCACCCAAGCCAACCCTCCCCTTCCCCGCTTCTTCCAGGCTCTACCTGCAACTTGCCCTGCTCCTTCAGCCAAATACCTTGTAAATGAGGTCCACGGACACATCCACTCATTCATCAGATATGCCCAGATACATTTTTTCTCCAAGAAGTCCACAGGGACATTCTTCCATTAGCACAAAAGAGCTTCAGAGTTTTACTTTCCCACACCCTGCCTGCTTCCTAACCTGCTTCTGGAACCTTGAGTTCCCCTGAAGTAGACCCGATCACTGCAGGGGGTTTTAGGGCCTTGACTTGCCCATAGGGAAGAGCCACTAAAATGCTGTTCTCCCAGAGAAAATAAATCATCCCATCATCCCAATGTCTCTGTCCCTGAAGAGTACCAACCCTTCAGCAGCAGCGGCATAGTGATCAGAGAGAAATCATCACCATGGCCAGGTCGGTGACCTCAAAGACTTGTTTGCCAAGGCAGGCCCCTTTGGAGTGAGACGAGGATGTAGCAGGAACTGAATACCACTCCCCAAAGCTGTTCAACCTCTCATCACTGATAGAGATCAGTAGCAGGCAAGGGTGACCCCAGGGCCACCTGTGCCAGCCCTGGGGCTGACCCAGCTTCTCTGGCAGGCCCAGGTGGCTGCCTTAGGCTGACAGAGCAGTCACGGGGAAGGGGAGGGGTCTTCTGCAAGCGGGGCCAGGGCCCACCAATCAGACCGTGTCTCTGCATCTCTGCAGCTGAGTCTCTTGTTTGAGCTCATTTGCATAATTTGGTTCAATATTTACTGAGCCAACCTCATTTTCTGGGCTGTCTCCATGGCCGACAGCTGGGAAGGCTGCAATTACAGCATTATCCATGCAGGGTTGCCACTGGGAGCCCACACCGAGACGCAGCTTCCAAACAAACCCAGCCCTGGGGAGCCCCTTCCTTGGGCCGCTCCAGATCTCTGCAGCTGGAAGTCGGCCTGGGCCACAACTGCAAACCAGGCTATACCCAGACACAGCCACAACAACAACAACGGCAACAGCAGCGATCATGGTTACTTGTCATTAAGTGAATAATAGCCGCCTTTTGTTGGGCACTTGTGCGCAGGCACCGGCTACGTGGAATTTCTCACCTCATCCTCACAGCAGTCCGGGAGGAGGTGAATCAGGTACGATTGTTTAATTTAATTTAACTGTTTTAGACAAAATAGCCCAGGCGGAGCATTACCTTCAGGCACAGCTAGATTCAGGATGTGAATGACACCATTAAAACTCAGTTTTTCTGCAGCTAACTGCTGACTTCCCAAGTTCTGAGCATATACTCAAGACTGCAGCAACTCCAGCCTTATACTCAGGCTGTTCCAGAGGGCAGGAAGTCTGAGACCATTCACCGGTGTCCTGAGATTCACCCAGATTGAATGGGCTTGAGTCACGGAATCATGCCCAGGTCCACAATGGTTGGCTTAGCCGACGGTTATGTGCCTCCCTCCTATTCCTACATTAAACACCAAGAGAAGGGGAAGAGTGAGTGGATCCTCAAATACAAGTCAGGAATTGCCCTTGGATGAAATGGAAGCAAATAAATGTGCCTTACAGGTAGGGACTTTTATTAACTCCATTATTCTGATGAGGAAACAAACCTGGAGCAAGAGGCTCTGAGTTCACCCAGACACAAAGTGCTGGAGCTGATACTCAAACCCAGATCTCTGTGAATACCCATATCTATCGTCTTAGGCTTAACCCCTCCCCACAGAAAACACAGGAAGGAAGGCAATCTTGGTTCCCCCAGTTGGTGGAGCAGGGACAGTTGCACAGGGTCCTGGGCTGGATGGACTCTACTGTCGCTGTCCTGAAATTCATAATTTTGGAACAAATGGCCTTGCACTTTCATTTTGCACTGGGTCTCCCCAACTTTTTTTTTTTTTTTTTGAGACAGAATCTCACTCTGTTGCCAAGGCTGGAGTGCTGTGATGCGATCTCGGCTCACTGCAACCTCCACCTCCCGGGTTCAAGCATTCTCCTGCCTCAGCCTCTCGGGTAGCTGGGACTACAGGCTCCGCCACCACAACCAGCTAATATTTGTGTTTCTGGTAGAGATAGGGTTTCACCATGTTGGCCAGGCTGGTCTCAAACTCCTGACCTCAGGTGATCTTCCCACCTCGGCCTCCCAAAGTGCTGGGATTACAGGTGTGAGCCACTGCACCCAGCCTACTGGGTCCTTTTTAAATGTAATTTATAGCCAGGTGTAGCGGCTAATGCCTATAATCCCAGCACTTTGGGAGGCTGAGGCGAGAGGATCGCTTGAGCTCAGGAGATCAAGACCAGCCTGAACAACATAGCAAGACCTTGTCTCTACAAATTATTTCAAAAATAAATAAATAATGTAATGTATATAACTGCTCCCAATTGGGGGTTTAGACAGAATTCTGCTGCTCCTAAGTAGATCCAGTCCCTGGGGTGCTGGAATTCTAGGATTCCTTGTAGATTCTAGGTCATGGCCTTTCTTCTCCTTTCCCTGCCCTCATGTTGAGCTGGACCCATACCTTGTTTTCTCTGCTGAACTTTTCACCTCCTTAGTAGAGATCCTGGTTCTGAGCCAGGACCTTTTAATAGCCCTCCAAGGTCCAATTGCTGCCCCTTCCTCTGAGGTTGGATTCTCCTTCCAGTGACTTGAGGCTGCTTGGAATGAGCAGACCCAACCCTTAGGGCAATCTCCATCTTCCCCAGATTCCTCCTGGCTAGTGCTGCTGGCCACCATCCTATGCATTCGAAACAATGATGACTCAGAGTTCCACTGGCTACCTCTGTTTGCCATCACCTCCATCCCAAGGATTTCTGGAAGTCTCCAAAGGAGTTCCTCTCACATGCAACATACAGCCTCAGTCACAGTCACTGCGTGACACTCACCGTATACTACCTCTCCCCAGGGGTAGGGAGCCTTCCAAGGGAGCCTTTGCTCTGCTGAGGCCAATGCTCCCCTCCCAAGAATATTGATACCTTGGCCAAGAGCACTGCCTTGCACAGTTTTCCAGATGCCCTTGAGGGGCCAGGCTCTGTCCTGAAACAGAAGTAAGAGCCCCTCTCCAGTGATGGCAGGAGGTCCCCAGGCAGCCGTGCTAGGGCTGAGAATCCCAGAAAATCTTTCCCTAAACACACTTCCTTCCTCTTCCATGCTCTTCCAAGAGAAACTCTTGAACATCCATCGACATCAAGGAACATGCAGAGCACTGCCCAAAGACCTGATTTAGAAATTGATATTCCTTCTGGTTCCATTTCTTATTTATTTAACAAATACATAATGATGGTCTCTCTGTTCCAGGCACGGGCCTAGATACTAATGTGCAAAAGAACCAGTCTCAGAAAAATGTTAATAACTGTCCTAATTACCTCAGGCTGCCGTAACAAAATACCATAGACTGGAATTCTTAAACAACAGACATTTAATTCTCTAAGTTCTTCAGGCCCCAAGTTCAAGATCAAGGTGCTGGCTGATTGGGTTCCTGGTGAGGGCTCTCTCTGGCTTGCAGATGCCTGGTCACCTTCTTTCTGAGTCCTCACATGGGAGAGAGAGAGACAGAGAGAGAGAGAGAGAGAGAGAGAGAGAGAGAGAGAGAAAGCAAGAGTAAGCACTCTTCCTCTTCTTTTTTTTTTTTTTTTTTTTTTGAGATGGAGTTTCACGCTTGTTGCCCAGGCTGGAGTACAATGGCGCAATCTTGGCTCACTGCAATCTCTGCCTCCCAGGCTCAAGGGATTCTCCTGCCTCAGCCCCTTGAGTAGCTGGGATTATAGGCATGTGCCACCATGCCCGGCTAATTTTGTATTTTTAGTAGAGACAGGGTTTCACCATGTTGGTCACGCTAGTCTCGAACTCCTGAGCTCAGGTGATCCACCTGCCTCAGCCTCCAAAAGTGCTGGGATTACAGGCATGAATCACTGCACCTGGCCTCTTCCTTTTCTTACAAAGATACTAATCCCATCATGGAGGCTTCACCCTCATGACTTTATCTAAACCTAATTACCTCCCAAATGCCCACCTCCAAATACCATCACACTGGGGCTTAGGGCTTCAGCATACAAATCTGGGGAGGATGCACACACTCAGTCCATATCAATAACTTGGCCCTTAAGGAAAGATTCTGGAGTCACACCATCTGGATTCAAATGACAGTTTGATGTTCATTAGCTATTATATGAACTTGAACAACTGTGCCTCAGTTTCATCCTATGTAAAATGGAGGTGGAGGCTGGAGACCCAGGGAAGAGTTGCAGTGTGAGTCTGAAAGCTGTCTGCCACAGAATTCCTTCTTGCTCAGGGAAGGTCAATCTTTGTTCTGTTCAGGCCTTCAACTGGTTGGATGAGGCCCACCCATATTATGGACAGTCATGTGCTTTACTCAATATTTTATTTATTTTTCCTTCCTTAATTTTATTTTTTGAGCTAGAGTCTCACTTCGTTGTCTAGGCTGGAGTGCAGTGGCACGAGTACAGCTCACTGTAGTCTTGAAACTCCTGGGCTCAAGTGATCCTCCTGCCTCAGCCTCCCGAGTAGCTGGGACTACAGGCCAGCATCACCATGCCCAGCAAATTTTAAAAAAATTTTGTAGAGTCAAGGACTCACTGTACTGCCCAGGCTGGTCTTGAGGTCCTGGGCTCAAACAATCCTCCCACCTCAGCCTCTCACAAAGTGCTGTGATTGCAGGCATGAGCCACCACACTTGGCCTGCTTTACTCAAAGTACGTCTTTTAAAATGTTATTCTCATCCAAAAAGCACCTTCACAGAAACGTCCAGAATAGTGTTTGACCAAATATCTGGGCACCATGGCTCAGCCAAGTTGACACATAGGATTAACTATCATGATGGTAATGAAAATACACACCTTAAATCCTTCTCCTGGGGGTTAAATGAGTGAATATATTAATAATCCAGATTTTAGAACATTGCCTGGTAGGCTGGGTTACAGGCAGGTTCTCGTGGGCAACAAATTGAGAAGCTACAGGGAGAACGCTTGTTCTCAACAGGAAGCTGGGATAATGTTAGCTGGGGAGTTACCAGTAGCCAGGAGCTTCCTTTGGGGAGAAATCCAGGTTGAGGCATTGGAAACAACAGTGAGAAGAGGAAGGACCTCTGGAGGCACTCAGGTTCCCAGCCTGGCGGTCCTGAGTCTTCCGCTCTCCCCATTGAACACATAAGTCAATAAGCTCCTCTTTTGTCCAAGCAGTCCCCCACTGGGGAGCTTGGGTCTCTACATCCAAAAAGGCAGTCTCATCCAGCCTTTCTTCACCAACTTTGGACTCTCTTTGACTTTGACAAGTGGCTCATTCCATTGGTTTCTCTGGGAAGGAAAAGGAGCTGCTCATTCATTTAACACATTTGTTGGGTGCCTACTCCATGCATGGTTCCACTCTGACCAAAGGATCATTCACTGAATGTACTGACTCCTTGCTTGGTGTCTCAAGGATACAGCAGTCAGGAAAACACATTCCCTTTTCTTGGAGTTTGGGTGAGTTATTCACCAGTCGTGGTAGGCAGCACCTGAGTTTACCTGATACAATTATTTCAACCCAAGGGCGGCACCACTACCAACCCAAGGGTGGCAACCACCAGTGAGGTTGCATTTTCCCAATGCCATCCTAAGAGTGGAAGTCACTCTCCAGTTTGGGACCTCTGTTTCCCATTTCTGAAAGGCAAAGTTGGACTAAATGACATCTAAGGGCCTTGCAGCCCTAAGATTCTGTTTTCCAGCCTTGTTGGTGGCAAACTATCTATCTGCTGACCACAGACAGAAGTTAAGAAAATGCTTTGGAGTAGAGAAAGAAGTCTACCACCTCTCCTGGAAAACTTGGGTGGTGGGACTCCAGCATGAGGCTGAAGAATGCTTAATCTAGGATTCAGACTTGGAGGGAAAGGGAGGTTTCTCTAATTTGACCCTTCTAGGATCTATTTACCAGAGAGACTCAGGAGCTTCCTGGGAAGGTGAAAAATCTCTACAATGAGAATTACAAAATACTGCTCAAAGAAATCAGAGATGACACAAAAAAATGGAAAAACATTCCGTGCTCACAGATAGGAAGAAATCAATATCATTAAAATGGCCTTACTGCCCAAAGCTATTTACAGATTCAATGCTATTCCTGTCAGATTACCAATGATATTCTTCACATATTTTAAAATTTATATGGAACCAAAAAAGAGCCTGAATAGCCAAGGTTATACTAAACAAAAGGAACAAAGCTGGAGGCATCACATTACCTGACTTCAAACTATACTACAGGGCTACAATAACCAAAACAACATGGCACTGGCACAAACCAGACACATATAAAAATGGAACAGAATACAGAACCCAGAAATGAGACTGCACACTTACAACTATATGAACTTTGACAAATCTGAAAAAGACAAACGATGGAGAAAGGATTTCCTATTCAATCAATGGTGGTGGGATAACTGGCTAGCCATATGCAGAAAATTTAAACTGGACCCCTTCCTTACACCATATACAAAAAACAGCTCAAGATGGATGAAAGACTTAAATGCAAAACTGAAAACTGTAAAAACCCTGGAAGACAACCTAGGCAAGACCATCCTGGACATAAAAACAAGCAAAGATTTCGTAATGAAGACACCAAAGGCAATCCCAACAAAAGCAAAAATTGACAAATGGGATCTAATCAAACTTAAGAGCTTCTTCATAGCAAAAGAAACTATTAAGAGTAAACAGACCACCTACAGAATGGGAGAAAATGTTTGCAAACTATGCATCTGACAAAGGTCTAATATCCAGCATCTATAAGGAGCTTAAACAAATTTACAAAACAAACAGCCCCGTTAAAAAGTGGGCAAAGGACATGAACAGACACTTCTCAAGAGAAGACATACATGCAGTAAACAAGCATATGAAAAAAAGCTCACCATCACTGATTATTAGAGAAATGCAAATCAAAACCACAATAAGATACAATATCATACCAGTCAGAATGGCTATTATTAAAAAGTCAAAAAATAACAGATGCTGGCAAGGTTGCGGAGAAAAAGGAACACTTATACACTTTTGGTGAGAGTGTAAATTAGTTCAACCATTGTGGGAAGCAGTGTGGCAATTCCTCAAAGAACTAAAAATAGAACTACCATTTGATCTGATCCAGCAACCCCACTACGGGGCATATACCCAAAGGAATATAAATTGTTCTACCATAGAGACACATGCACATGTATGTTTATTGCAGCACTATTCACAGTAGCAAAGACATGCAATCAACCTAAATGCCCATCAATGATAGACTGGATAAAGAAAATGTGATACACATAGACCATGAAATATTATGCAGCCATAAAAAAGAAAGAGATCACATCTTTTACGGGAACATGGGTGGAGCTGGAGGCCATTATCCTAAGCAAACTAACGCAGGAACAGAAGATCAAATACTGTATGTTCTCGCTTATAAGTAGGTGAGAGCTAAATGATGAAAACTTGTGAACGCAAAGAAGGGAACAACAGACACTGGGGTCTGCTTGAGGGTGGAGGGTGGAAGGAGGGAGAGGAGCAGGAAAAATAACTACCGGGTACGAGGCTTGCTACCCGGGTGATGAAATAATCTGTACAACAAATCCTCGTGACACGATTTTACTTACATAGTAAACCTGCACATGTACCCCTGAATGTAAAACAGAAGTTTAAAAAATGCTCTATTGTTTAAGTCGCCCACTTTGTGGTCCTCTGGGAAACAAATACGTCTAGGTCCTTGGAAGAAGCACATGCAGTGAAAAAGTCCAAAACAGAAGGAGCTACTTTTCTACAACTTCTGCGGGCCCTTGGGAGCTCAAGACATCAGCTGTTCAGATGACGGCTCCAGTTATTTGAGAGTGCCCTCCATATTGATATCCCTGCCTTGACAATGGTAGTCATGTCCTGGGAAGACCCGGATGGGCACCAGCACCTCTAGCCCAGCTGCAGGTGCTCAGCTGATTTTTGTTGTGCTGTCAACAAAAGGAGACAGTATGCTGGAGAGCCAACAGTGGGTGTTTTTCTTCCTGATTAGTGAAGGGAAAAGCTGAGGCACTGTCATCAAAAGAAACTTGCCCAGTAAGTCAGGCCAGTGCTCCTGGCTCCCCTGAATCAGGAAAGACCTGCCTCTGTCCTGCTGACTCACACCTTCCCCTTCAGACAAGCCCATCCTCCCTCTGTGAGCACACATCCCACAGTCTTGCCTCCACTTCTTTGCTAACTGTGGGGCTTCTGTCTTAACTCTCATGTGCACCTATTTCACTCAAACTCTTTTTTAAGGCTTATCAGCATTTCAGGAAGTTTCCTATCTGTTCCTGCTGTGCTGGAGCCCAAGCCTCTCCCCATCACCCCTTGTTAGAAGTAACAGTCCCTCTGGCCGGGCGCGGTGTCTCACGCCTATATTTCCAGCACTTTGGGAGGCCAAGGCAGGTGAATCACTTAAGGTTCAGGAGTTCTAGACCAGCCTGGCCAACATGATAAAATGCTGTCTCTACTAAAAATACAAAAATTAACTGGGCATGGTGGCGCATTCATGCCTGTAATCCCAGCTACTTGGGAGGCTGAGGCAGGAGAATTGCTTGAGCCCAGGAGGTGGAGGTTGCAATGATCTGAGATCGTGCTGCTGCAGTCCATGCTGAGTGACAGAGGGAGACTCCATCTCAAAAAAAGAAGAAGTAGCAGCACCTCCATCTGAACTCTGGCACCTGTTCTTCCTTGGCAGCATTCCCCTGAACCTTCTATGGTGTTAGATACTCCTGCTATAGTATGAAGTCACTCTGGTATTAGAGTTACTTAGGGATAATCTCACCTCCTTTTCATTTCTGCCTCTTGAACACACCAAGTTTATCCCTAGCTCAGTGCCCCTGTGTTCACTGCTCTTCCTATTTCCAACACTCTTTCTACAGATTGTCACAGGGCTGCCACCTTCTCATCCTCCAGATTTTAACTCAAAAGTCACTTTTCAGAGAAGACCCCTCTTTCCTGGTCATCCTAACTAAAGATGCTCCCCACCCACCCCATTTTGTGATCTTCAAAGCACTTGTCATTGTCTGAGATTCTCTTATTCATTTGTGGTCTCATTCTGGGTCTAGCAGGAAAATAAAGCCCACTTCAGGTAATTCAACAGGAAGGACTTAATATAGGCAATTAGTAGCAAGGTGCTAGAAGAGCAAACTGAAAATGTGCACTCCAACTGAAGGAAAGCATCCTACCCTGAGAATTGGAGGAACAAAAGAGGAGGCAAGGAAATGACACTATCCAGGAAAGCTGGAATCACTGGGTCTGATGAAGGAAGCTGGACCATGAGGTGGAGCTGTCCAGCAGAAGCTAGAGCAAGGGAGGAGATGCAGCCCCTGCCTCAGACATCACCTAAAGCAAAGAAAGGTGGTGGGCAGATGGAGGGTGGGAGGAGGGGGGAATACTCTGACTTCTCCCTTCCTTTTACTCTTTCTAGTACATCCATTGGACAAACTTAAAGTCAGTTGGCAAGGGAGCCTAGTGTGCAAGGGAGGCCACCTCTGTGATACCAACCAGAAAAAGGGAAGGCTAGGGAAAGATCTGAGAACAGACGGGCAAATGACTGGCACACTCATTCCCATGTTCAGTGTGTCTCCCACCAGAATGCAGGTTCATTTAGGGCAGAGTCTATTGTGTTTACTCCTCAGCACCTGGAAATGTCTGCACGTGGGAGGCTTTCAAGATACATTGACTGATTGAGGCTGATTCCTGCCTCTTGAGGAATGGAATATATTAGAACCTTAGTTTAGACAGCCATTAAGTGTGGTTAAAAATAGCCACCCCACAGTTTGCTTGTGATTAGTAAATGAGAAAATACGAGTACACATGCCTAAAATGATGGGCAGCACTTAATAAAGGTTCCATAAAGGGTTGTAGACTTTATGAGCTCATCCATTTTTCAGTTGTACTTGGCCATGGTAATGAAACCTACACAGATAATAATTTTCTATGGACTACTTGTGTCTCCTAACACTATAAAGTACAGTCATGTGCCACATAATGATGTTTCGATTAATGACAGACAATGTATACAATGGTCCCATAAGATTATAACGGAGTTGAGAAATTCCTATCACCTAGTGATGTCATAGCTGTCATAATATTGTAGTGCAATGCATGATGTTTTCTTTGTTTAACTATGTTTAGATATACAAATGCCATTGTATTACAGTTACCTATAGTACAATAACATGCTGTACAGGTCTGCAGCCCAGGGACCACAGGCTATACCGTTTAGCATAGGTGTGTAGTAAGCTATACCATCTAGGTTTGTCTAAGTACCTTCTATGGTGTTCAACATTGCCTAATGATGCATTTCACAGAATGTATTCCCATTGTTAAGCCACACATGACTGTGGTTTTAAAAAAGTTTGTGCTAACATTTTTTTAGCAAGGCTTGCCATTTACAATGTACCTTTACGATAATAATCTCATTTGATTCTCTCTAAACATCCATCTGAGCTAGGTAATAATAACTATTAATTACTGAGAGCTTATCCATGCCGCGTATTGTACTGTTCTAAATGTTTTTGCACCTATTCATTACCTTCATCTTCACCAGAACTCTATAAAGTAGATGTTGCAGATGAGGCAACTGAGGCACAGAGAGCCCCAGGGGCTTAGGACCCAGAGCAGACGCAACGGGCATATTTGAGTTCTGCAAGGTAGCTCAGTGATGTGGGGGCGAGAGCAGGGATTCACTTTCTTAATTCCTCTTTGACTCAAGCCAAACCTGCTTGCCAGTGAGCACAGGTGATGGGCAGGTGAGAGAAGCTGCATGCTGGCTAGCAGCTCCTGGAGAGGAGGGTCGACCTGAAGCAGCCATAGGTACTTTCATACAGCACCTGTCTCCATGCACACAGCAGAGGCCCAGGAAATGCCTGCTGGGCCAAGTAAACACCAGCACGTTGCTGAGTTGGGCCTGGTGGGAGTTTTTCCCACATGCCAGCATAAAGGAAACATTCACAGATTAAACAGTGACCTAGTCAGCCAGCAGGGCACATTCTGGGGCTGCCCACGAACACCTGAGGCAGCGAGCAGGCACCTGAATGGTTTATGTGGGAACAGCAGGTGGTAATGAAGACAGGTCAAAAGTTTACACCTGAGAGTCCACGTCTCTGGGATACTAAATAAAAGGTAACATCTTGGGTTTGATTTTAGAACAGTAAAAGGACATGAGTGGAAACCCAAATAAAGTCTGCAGTCTAGCTAACAGTCATGTTCTAGTGTGATGAATGGACCATGGTTGTGTACTGTTAACATGAGGGGAAATTGGGTGAGAGGTACACAGGAACTCTACATTATCTTTGCAACTTTTTCTGAAAATGGAAAATTATTCCAAAAAAGTTTTATTCCAATAATTAAAAAATTCTCTGAAATGGAAATTCATCACACACTCTGTGAGTCATTTACACTCTCTTCGTGTGCATTACTTAGCTTCTTCATCTGGAGCCACAAATATGGCGGTAGTAATGGCCCCTGCCTTGGAGTTTGAACAGCATTTAGCCTTGCCCAGCACAGCAAATGCTCAATAGATGTTCGCCATTGTTACTATTCACACAGTCTTCAAACTGCTGTCAGAGGTGGTGATAGACATGGAGACCACCATTCAGGCCCCTCTTCATGGAAGGACTTGTGGCCCAGTTGCAGACAGAAGTCCTGCCTGAACTCTTGTGCTTCCTGGGGGAGCCATACCTGCTGACTGAGTGGTGGGGGCTGGCGGGTCGAGTATGAAGGCCCAGCCACTTCTGCCAGGTGTAGGACAGCTCTGCCAGGCAGAGCTTGCTCCAGGTCTCCCTATGGCCTGGTGGAGGCTTTGTCAAGTCCTCATGGCAGTTGGCTTCTTCCTCCACCCAATCCCTTCACAGGTGTTGATCCGTAATAAACATCCCATCTGAGTGTTTTCTTTCCAAGAACCTTATCCGCAGCAGTTGTTGCTGGGAATAGTCCAAGAAAGCTGGTGACTAGATGGAGCTTGGGAGCTGGGTTACTCGCCTCTCAGCTGGCAAGGAGGACCCCAGCCTCATGGCAGGTGGAATACAGGAAAGCCTGTGCACACAGTGGCTTCCCACCATGGTGAACTGGCTAGTGTACCTGTGGCTGGAGTGGGCTGGCAGTCAGTGAATGTATCAGGCACTTGAACTTGGGGGTTGGGAGTTGGGATAGTAGCTATGAAGGTAACAGCACCGGATGGCCATTGCTAAACACCACTGATGTCCCTACAGAAAGATAGTGAATAGCAAAAGCTAGTAACAAGTAATGGAAAGGCAGAAATGGAAGCTAGAGGGCTTCTTTAATTGCAGGCGAAGAAACTTTCATCTTCTACAGAAGGAAGTGGGGAAAGAGCCTAACTAGAAGCTCAAGACTTAATACAGTGGTTAACAACAAAGACAGGTGAGCAAGCTTCATATAGAGGCCCCTCTCTGCATGGCAGCCTGTGTTCCCCCAGGGCCCTCCTCCATCTCACCTCCCCACTTTGAGATTTCCTTTAAAAAATTGTTACCTACTCTGAGGTTCAATAATCTTTTTTTTTTTTTTTTTTTTTTTTTTTTTTTTTTTTTGAGACGGAGTCTTGCTCTGTCAGCCCAGGCTGGAGTGCAGTGGCATGATCTTGGCTCACTGCAAGCTCCGCCTCCCAGGTTCATGCCATTCTCCTGCCTCAGCCTCCCGAGTAGCTGGGACTACAGGCGCCCGCCACCACGCCTGGCTAATTTTTTTGTATATTTAGTAGAGACGGAGTTTCACCGTGTTTGCCAGGATGGTCTCGATCTCCTGACCTCGTGATCCGCCTGCCTTGGCCTCCCAAAGGGCTGGAATTACAGGCGTGAGCCACTGTGCCTGGCCAATAATCTTTCTTTCTTTCCTTCCTTTCTTTTCTTTTCTCTTTTCTTTTTCTTTCTCTCTTTTTTTCTTTCTTTCTCCTTCTTCTTTTCTTCTTCCTCTCTATCTCTCACTTTCTTTCCAGAGACAGGGTCTTTTCCTTCCTTCCTTCCTCCTTCCTCCCTTCCCTCCCTCCCTCCCTCCCTCCCTCCCTCCCTTCCTTGCCTGCCTGCCTGCCTGCTTGCTTGCTTGCTTGCTTGCTTGCTTGCTTGCTTGAGACAGGGTCTTATTCTATCACCCAGGCTGGAGTGCAGTAGCACGATCTCGGCTCACTGCAACCCCTCCGCCTCCCAGGTTCAAGAAATTCTCCTGCCTCAGCCTCCCTAGTAGCTGGGATTACAGGCACTCACCACTGCACCTGACTAATTTTTGCATCTTTAGTAGAGATGGGGTTTCACCATGTTGGCCAGGCTGGTCTCGAACTCCTGACCCCAGGTGATCCACTCGCCTCGGCCTCCCAAAGTGCTGGGATTACAGGCTTGAGCCACTGCACCAGCCTATAATTTTCATAGTCTATTTATGAATTTTTATAGGTTTACCTTTTACATTCAGATCTTCAGTCAACCAAAGATAACTAAACACACACATACACACACTCAGACACACAAGATTTTTTTTTCCAGATAGGAGCCAGTTTCCCAACTCCATTTATTAAACATTCCACCCTCTGCCCACTGATTCTTCTTCTTCTTCCTCTTTTTTTTTTTTTTTTTTTTTGTGTGTGTGTGTGTGTGTGTGTGTGTGACGGAGTCTCACTCTCTGGCATAGGCTGCAGTACAGTGACACGATCTTGGCTCACTGCAACCTCCACCTCCTGGGTTCAAGTGATTCTCCTGCCTCAGCCTACTGAGTAGCTGGGATTACAGGCATGTGCCACCATGCCCAGCTAATTTTTGTATTTTCAGTAGAGACGGGGTTTCATCATGTTGGCCAGGCTGGTCTCAAACCCCTGACCTCAAGTGATCCACCCGCCTCGGCCTCCCAAAGTGCTGGGATTACAGGCATGAGCCACCGTGCCCGGCTTGCCCACTGATTCTTGATAGCATGTCTATCACCTATCAAGTTCTAGGATAATCATAGATCTGTTTTAGGATTTTCTATTTTGTGCCATTTGTTTGCTTTGTCATGTGCTGCTTTTTTGGCTCTGGCTTTGTAATATGTTTTAATAACTGGTAAGAAGGTAGGTGTAAGCAATAATTATCATCACAGATGAACATACTGAGGCTGGGAAAACTTGAGGAAGTTGTCTAAGATCACATAGCTAAGTGGGCCAAAGGAGGATTTGAACTCAGATTTGAGTTATTTCAAAGATTGAGAGCTCTTTCCCCACCAAGAGGCTATCTTCAGAGCTGGCTTTCTTTCCCATGAAGGAAAAAAGAATGGGATGGTGTTTTGATTTCCCTGGCTTCATGCTCCCAGCCTCAAAGGAGGTCAAGTTCCTTCCCAGAAGAAACTGATATTTCCTTTTGGAACCCATGACGCCACATTGTTGGCTTCCCTAGGGAGCACCCAGCAGGGTAGAGAGAACCAGTCCTGAGCTCAGGACTCAGAGAAACAGCCCCCGCTTCAGTGAGCTTCCTGCTTCCTGTACTATGGTTGCAGGGGAGGGCTGGGAAGCCTCATAATTATCTTTATCCTTTGAAAATAGATCTAAACACACCTGTCCTCTGCTAAAAACAAACATATAACACTACCCCTCTCCAAGAAAAAACAAAACCTGCAATGGCTCTCCGAGGAAGCAATTGGCTGCAGACTTTTGCTTGTTTTGGTTTCTTTTTAGCTAATACACCTCTTTTTTCTAGAATAGATTCACATGCAGAAGCCCCAAATGTAAAACATTAAAATGTAGCTTTAGAGACAAGTGGCCTGGAACCCCTCGTGTTGAGCCTCCTCCTTGTGCCTGGCATGCACTGGGTGTTATGTGAAATATTTGTTGGCTTAATAAAGAAGGCTTTGGAGCCTGTCTATGGAACCCAGTTGATTATCAACTGACCCTGAGTTCAAGGCTGAGCCTCCAATATGGCATTTAAGCCCCTTGTAAATTTGGCTCTGTCCTAACTTAATCTCCTACCCTCTAGACCAGTGTCTGAGCCACACCAACAATCTCCTCATTCCCCACTTTGCTTGGTTCTTTTTTGCACCTGTGCCTTTGCGAAAGCTGTTTCCTCAGCCTGGGGTACCTTTCCTCTCACTTCTCTTGTTGTGTGAACTCAGAAAACCTTTGCAGCCCAGCTCACATATGCCCTGCTCCATGAAGCTTTCCTTGATTTCTTGTCAATTACCTTGTAGGTCCCATCTTTATGATGATCATGAATCTGCTATAGCACTTCTCATGGCATTGGAAAGCTTTATCTGTCACAGAACTCCTTGGGACAGGGTTTGGAGCTCTTAGTCCATGTTCTCAGTCTAGTACTTGGTCTGGCAGTTAGTGCTCAACGAATATTACATGAATGAATGAATAAGTGAATCAATAGCACAAATTCAACAAATGAATATGGAGACAATAGTCAACCCAATGGAGGTCTGTTATTTGAGTAGTCAGCCCAGGACAGAGCTCCTGGATGAAGCAGCAATGGCAGATACCTGGAAATGTTTGTCATGCCCAAAGAAGGTGGCTGTACCTGCACCAAAATCTGGGGGGCCAGGAATCTATGGGGCTGGGTTTCTACCATCTCCAGCTGGCTGAGAAGTAGCAGCCAAACAGGAGCTAGTTCTTGCAAAAGTGGGGGCTGTCTCAGGACTCCTCTTTTCCAACAATATCCATACCTTCCTCACTCCTCAGTCCCAGACTCAGGCCCTGGAGGTTTTGGAAGAGCCCCTCCCACATTCTAACCTCTGAATTTCCTCGGGAATCTTATAGTTGACTGTTCTGTGGGCCCCCTCCCAGATGGTGATCCTTTTGGAGGACTGGGGTCCTGCCTTATTCATTATTCTCTCTGCTGGCCCAAGGGGGTATCAAGTGTTGGTCTTTGTCTTAAGGGTTCAGTGAATATTAAGTGCTCGGAAAATCTTTGGTAAGGCAGAAAAGTCATTAAATTCCATGAACAAACTATAGCCAAGCCCAGGGTGGGAAAAGAAGCCACGAGGAGCCCCACTATAAGGGAAAACGTGGTAAATGAGCAATGACAACATGGCGGGCTAAATACATGGACATACTTGCATTAAGCAGTGACTAGTGTGCCAGATAACAGTTGCTGTCATACCTGGTAAAGTCTTGCTCATCAGATTATTGAAGGATGATTATAAACATCTCCATTTTCTAGATGAGAAAACTGGGCTTACAGACATACAACAACAATATCAGAGCCATGGCCAGAATCCATATCACTCTGCTGTAGAAATTTTGAAAACATATGACATGAATTTATTGGTTAAGGAAAAAAAAAAGCTGGGCACGGTGGCTCACACCTATAATCCCAGCACTTTGGGAGGCCGAGGTGGGAGGATCACCTGAGGTCGAGAGTTTGAGACCAGCCTGACCAACATGGAGAAACCCCATCTCTACTAAAAATACAAAATTAGCAGGGCGTGGTGGCACATGCCTGTAATCCCAGCTACTCAGGAAGGCAGAGGCAGGAGAATCACTTGAACCTGGGAGGCGGAGGCTGTGGTGAGCTGAGATCACGCCATTGCACTCCAGCCTGGGAAACAAAAGCGAAACACCCTCTCAAAAAAAAAAAAAAAGAAAGAAAGAAAGAAAAAAAGAAAAGAAAAACAAACGTTTTGAAAATAAAAGCCATTCACTTGTAATTTTTTTTTTCATTGTGGTAGGGAAGCACCAGGGAAGGCTTTATGGAGGTGATTATTAATCTGAGGCTTGAAACTCCTTGTCACTGATTCATTTATTCAACCAAAATGTATTGAGCACCTACTAGGTGCCAGGTAGTAAGGACATCCAGAAGAAAAACATACAGGCCTGCCCTCCAGGAGTTCACACTGTCATGATGGAAAAAAAAAAAGAAAAAAATCAGACAGAGGCAATGCTTTGCGTCGAGGGCAAGTATTGACAGCAGAGTCCATGGGAGACTCCTGATCCAGTGGGGGCGTGAGGGATGTCACAGGAGACCCCCGGTCCAGTGTCAGGTGGTGAAGGTGTTCATGAGAGTCCCTTGGTCCAGTGAGAGGGTCATGGGAGGCCCCTGATCCAGTGGCACCCAGTGGCAAAGCCTGGGGAAGAAGGAATATCTGGGATGAGGAATAAGGGCTGAGTCTAGAAGGCTGAATGGGAATAGAAGGGGAAGAAGTATCCAGAGAGACCCTAGAGGGATATATGGAAAGGTCTGGAGGCCAGCCATCTTTCCCTGGGCCCTGAAACAGGCTAATAGCCATTTGTATGTGTGTGAGTTCCAAGCTAACTGAGAAATCTATGAGGCCTAAGCCAGCTTTTCTGGGGTTATTGCAAATCCATCATTGCTCAAAGTTGCATTGTGTAGCTTGAGATTACGAGCTTTGTAAAGTCCCATAGAAAGGGATACAAGAGGCCGAAAGGCATTCCAGGCCACAAGAAAGAATAGCCTTTTGGAAAGATTCTTGGTTCACTTTTTCCCCAGACACCTCCCCTGCCCAGGGGCTGCAGGGACCTCTGGCTTAAGAATGGCCATTGCTCCAGCTGGAAGATAGCACCTGGACTGGCTCAGGGCTAGACAGAGGAGACGGGGAGCTTCAGGTGGTATCACAGGCCAGATAGGGGATCCTGCCATGACCTATGGATGCCTCACAGAGCACTTGTCTTTGTTTGGATGGCTTTTGAAGGTGATTATTATTTTGAAGGATTGATTATTCTAAAGGGACAGACTTCCCTATCCCTACTCCGCTGCATTTACGGCAAAATAAACTTGAAAAAGAAAAAACCCACTCATCTGACTCCAGATCCTATCAGTTTTCCCTGTGCCTCTTCCTCCAGCCATGGCTTAGAAGGGTAAAAGTTCAAGCTATCTCAGATATCTGAAGAAAAGCCCACTGTCCCCCCAACCCTAATATTTGTATAGACAAAAAAAAAAAAATTGGTCTAAATGGGCTCAGAGAAGGCCTGGAGCCAAGTGAGTCCCCAACCTCCCTGGGCTATGTTCTAGTTATGAGAATCTGGGCACATAGCTCACCCTCTCTAAACCTCAGTTTCCTCCTCTGCATGGCATTTGTGTGTGTGTGTGTGTGTGTGTGTGTGTGTGTGTGTGTGTTGCCCAGGCTGGAGTGCAATGGCGTGACCTCGGCTCACCGCAACTTCCGCCTCCAGGGTTCAAGTGATTCTCCTACCTCAGTCTCCCGAGTAGCTGGGATTACAGGCACGAGCCACCATACCCAGCTAATTTTGTATTTTTAGTAGAGACGGGTTTTCTCCATGTTGGTCAGGCTGGTCTCAAACTCCTGACCTCAGGTGATCCGCCCACCTCGGCCTCTCAAAGTGCTGGGATTACAGGCGTGAGCCACCAGGCCCGGGCCTGACACTTCTTAGAATGGCCTGAGTCAATGCAGATAGAGCTCTTGGTACCTGAAGTTATAGGGGTTTAGTTCTCTTCCTCTTTCCCCTGTAGTTTCGGCAATAGAGGCAAGTATGAGCTGGGTCTCTAGACCAGCGTCTTCCCTTCCTCCAGCGACCCGATTTCCCACAGCTTTTCAGCGACCCACGGATGCTGGGTCTTTCCCACTTTGTGCTCCTCCCCTGAAACTACACGGCTCTCCCTCACCACAAGGGGGCGTGCCGGCGCATGGCAGACAGCACTTGCCCTCCAGGTGTTCAGCCTGCTGCATGTCAGGTCCTGGCTTTTTCCATCACTCACTTGGACTTTTTGTTTTACTTCCTCCCTACAATGTGAGACAGACTCTCCCTCCTCTCCCACCCTCTATCCTTCAAAGACTTCAAGCAAACTTCCTTTTAGTTCCCTTGTCAGCTATAGGTGCTGAACTCCCACTACTGCCGACAAGGCCAGTTTTGCTTTTGGTTTTGAGACCAATGTCCATGAAACAAATGTGCAAATCAATAGCTATGGTCAGATACGCACCGTTTGTGTACCACATGTTCAGGGAGTGGAACAAGGGAACAATCCTCTGCTGACTCTGGGGCAGGAAAGCCTTCACAGAGCCTGTAACGTTGTTTGGTTTCAAGCGATTCTCCTGCCTCAGCCTCCCGAGTAGCTGGGACCACAGGCGCTGCCACCATGCCCAGCTAATAGTAGAGACGGGGGTTTCACCATGTTGGCCAGGCTGGTCTCGAACTCCTGACCTCGTGATCTGCCCGTCTCGGCCTCCCAAAGTGCTGGGATTACAGGCGTGAGCCACCGCGCCTGGCCACGTTGAAGTGGGTTTTAAACGTTGGCCTACTGAGGAGAGAGGAATAGGGGAGAGTTTCTAGGCAGAGCACACCAGAGGGCAAATGCATAGAGGGGTGGAAAAAGCCAGGGTAACGAAGCCCTGTTGAATGCGGTGGGGAGGGAGGGAGACCAGACTGAAGGTGTAAATTGGAGCAAGTACGCTGAAAGCCAAGCAGGGAGTTTAGAGTTTGTTTTCCTGAAAGCAGGAATGGAGAGCAGAATGGCGGAGAAGCATCACACAGCACCAGGTATGTAAGCTTCCAACCATGTCTCCAGCAGACAAGAGGGGACACTTCACCAGTGCCCCAGTGGCCTTCCCAGGTACTCTTTTCTGAGTCATCTAACACATCTAACAGAGAACCATCACCTAACACGGCAGTTCTCAAGTTTTTTGGTCTTATGCCCTTTTCCCTCTTAAAAATTGAGAAACCCAGAAGATTTTGTTTTTGTTTTTGTTTTTTTGAGATAGAGTCTCGCTCTGTTGCCCGGGGTGGAGTAGAGTGGCACGATCTCGGTTAACTGCAACCTCTGCCTCCCGGGTTCAAGTGATTCTCCTGCCTCAGCCTCCCGAGTAGCTGGGATTACAGGCCTGTGCCACCATGCCCGGCTAATTTTGTATTTTTAGTAGAGATGGGGTTTCTCCATGTTGGTCAGGCTGGTCTTCAACTCCTGACCTCAGGTGATCCGCCAGCCTCGGCTTCCCAAAGTGCTGGGATTACAGGCGTGAGCCACCGTGCCCGGACTAGTGTTTTTATGAAAATAATTTTGACGCTTATAATCCCAGCAGTTTTGGGAGGCCAAGGCAGGCAGATCACTTGAGGTCAGGAGTTCAAGGCCAGCCTGATCAACATGGTGGAACCCCATCTCTACTAAAAAAAAAAAAAAAAAAAATTAGCCAGATGTGGTGGCAGGCATCTGTAATTGCAGCTACTTGGGCTATTAAGGCAGGAAAATCACTTGAACCCGGGAGGCAGAGGTTGCCATGAGCCAAGATCATGTCACTGCACTCTAGCCTGGGTGACAGAGCAAGACTCTGACTCAAAAAAAAAAAAAAAAAAAAAAAAAAAGTTTTGATTTCATATAACCATCCCCTGAAAATAGTCCTCATACTGCATGTTAAGAACTGCTGGTCTAGCAATAACCAGGCAAATCACCAGAGGAACAAATAACTGTCAAAACAGCAGAGAGAGAAAGAAATCACAGGCGGGATAGAGACTGGCTCAGGGAATGTGAAGGAGCAGGGGCTATAGGGAGGCAGTGTCACTTAGGGTGACTTCGGAATCAATCAACTTAGGTTTGCCACCTGGCTGTCACTTGGTAGCTGTGTAGCTCTACCCTGACTGACCTCAGTTATCCCATTTGTAAAATTGCAAAAGTGCCTCATACGAGCACTTAGCACAGGGTGAGACACTGGACTTGTAAATGATAGCTCAATTTTCTTGGTCCAGAACATAACTTTATGAAAACAGCAGTATTTGTTTAGTAGGCTGTTTCTGCTTCTATAACATGTGTCAGACATGACCCCCAAAGGCACAGACACCTTGAAAAGTCTGGTGTATTATTAGCACAGTCACTTAGTCTAAGGGCACAGTGTGATGTGGCTGCCAAATCAGCAAGACCAAATTTAGGCTGTATTAATAGAGGTATTATGCACAGAACAAGGGAGGTGAGGGCTCCCCTGTAGTGCCTATTGCTCAGCCCCTCCTGAAGTATCGGGTTCATCTGAATGAAGGACTCAATACACTCGCCCCAACTGAGGGACTCTTTTCAGCTGAAGGCTTGGCCAGAGGGTGGGACACGGTCAGAGAAAACGCAACCACTCTTCTCAAAGACCTAAAGGATTGACACAGGAAAGAGGGGTTACATTGGCTCAGGGTGACCCCCAGAAGTGAACTAGAACCTGAGGATAGCCTGGTTAGAGAGGAAGATCAGAGATCCTAACATAGCGACCCTTCAACCACTGGAGTGTCTGAAATCCAAGAGGCCTGAGCTGGAGGGTGTGTGTGCAGTTATTGGAAGTGTGCATGTGGAGGCTGGAAGTCACGCGTGCGGGAGGCACTGCACTTGATCGTGGGGGTCACCTTCAAACCCTTCCCAATTTTGAGTTCCTGTGCCTCTGGAAGAGCAGCAAGACTGTCAGAGGAAATCAAAAGAAAACATTGAGAAGAGACAGTTCCTCGAGATGGGAAGGAGCAGCAGTGGGCATTCTGTTTGACAGGATTGCTTGGTTCTCTGCCAAATTTGACCTGGAGGTTGGATGCAGCTGCCAATCCTGTGGCCTAGAAACAGACAGGAGAAAACAAGGCATTGCTCAGAAACAGCTCATAAAAATAAAAACTTTCTGTTCCCCAAATGCCAAATGCTTGGGCGGTGCTGCCCAGCTGAGTGGGAAGCGCCCTGGCCGCTTGGGAACGCTGAGCCGATCACAGTGAGGCAGGGAAGGCAATGGCACCCTGAGATCAAAGAGGCTCACCCCACGCTCCTGGAAATAACTCAGCAACACGCTCGTCGTGGGAGAAAGGCAAAGAGAACTTCTCTTCCCAGACGGTCTTTGACTTCAGGGTAGGCAGTTGGCACCCACATCCAAAACCAAACCTGGCCTTTGTAAAGATGTTTTCAATCCACTCTCTCACTTGATCTCCACCAGCAACCTGGGGCAGGCATCCGCAGCTCTATTTTGCAGATGAGAAAACAAGAGCAGAGGTAGACTGATTTGGCTGAGGTCACCCAGCTGATGTGGCTGTGAAGATAACAATTGGGGCCCGACGGACTCCAAGTTCAAACCCAGGCCCTCAGACCTGGCCTCAGCACAGGCTTTCTGGGAGTGCAGCTGTCAGTGTGCTCTCCAACTAAGTCTCAGAATGCATGCCCATCTGGAACTGGTCAGTAGAACCCTGCAGTCTCCACCACCAGCCAGCTCACTGCATTATGTGTCAAGTCTTTCAGAACCTGGTGGAAAAGTCTTTGGAGCTGAGGAAGGAAAAACAGAGCTGCCTTTGAGGCACTGTTCATTGACCATCTTAGGCCACTTTCAGAACCGAAGGGTTCCGGAAAAGGTAAAGAGGAGCTTAGGGCCACAAGAAAGATGACAAAAGGCATCCCAACTATTGTTCATTGTCTGTTTATCCATCCAATGATGCCTCAGCATCTCCTTTGGTCTTTGGTCCAGCCCTTCACCAGGTTCTGGGGATACAGAGATGAAAGGCACAGCCCTGAATTTGAGAGAGCTCACCAGTTTTCTCTCGTTCAGTACCTTCAGTGATACACCAAATGCAGATAATCCCAGTTCAGGGTGTTCACTTTTATGGCAGATACTTAGAAGCAGCTGAGGGAACCCAGAGGAGTTCCTGGCCCAAATTAGAGGGGAAAAGGGGGTCACGGGAAGGCTTCCTGGAAGAGGGGCCATATTTTGTATATAAAAAAAATTAGCAACATAAAGGAGGTGGGAAAAATTCCAAACCACATAGCAATTGCTCCTTGTTCACGGGACGCATGAATCAGAACAGCAACATGCACCAGGACAGAGAGGAGGGCACAATGCCAGGGTGCGGGTTGCACTACCAGCCTAGCCTGTGGGGCTGCTTTTTCCCCTAACCACCAACCCTGTCTCTCACCACAAGCAGCACCTGAAACACACTGGTCCTAAACTCCAAGCAGGTGGTAACCTTCCAGTGGAACAGCAACTAGAGCAGAACAAATAAGGCCCTTCCTTTCCCATGTAGCTGAGCTTTCCTAGAAGCTCCATCATAGGAGTGCTACACTAGGAAATCTAAAGACATTTCACTTCCATTTCCAAGTCCACTTCAAATATGAATGCCTCGGCTGTGCAGGAAAGTGGCCAAGCCGAGTGGCAGCTCAGCACAAGAAAGGGAGCAGAGTGCTGCTGGGCGCTGGTTACCTTCAGGGAAGGTGAAATTATACTGAGGATAATGGGAGCCAAGTTTCTCACTGCCCTGGAAGGAGTCTGAAATATGGGAAGGGAGAAGATAGAATGAAGCTTATGGCATTTTTATTTTTTGAAACAGGGTCTCCCCGTCACCCAGGCTGGAGTGCAGTGCCGTGATCTCGGCTCACTGGAGCCTCAACCTCCTGGGCTCAAGCGATCCTCCCACCTCAGCACCCCCAAGTAGTTGGGACCACAGGCATGCACCACCATACCTGGCTAATTTTTGTATTTTTCGTAGAGACAGGGTTTCACCAAGTTGCCCAGGCTGGCCTTGAACTCCTGGACTCCAGCGATCCGCCCACCTTGGCTTCCCAAAGTGCTGGGATTACAGGCTTCAGCCACCGCGCCCAGCCTGAACCTTATGGCATTGGATCAGAATTAATGGTACCAGAGTGAACTCCCTTTTCAGTGTCTATGTATCAAATGTAAATGTAAGGATGTATTTACTGTGTGGACACACTTAGACGGCTTGGGAGCAGTGAGACTCTAATAGCAGTGAGCACGCCTAGAGCAAGGGTTTGCTTTCTAAATACAGTCTACATTAAGGGGAGCTAGAGCTCCTTGATAAATAGCCGATTCCAGGACTAGGGCACAGGAAATGCAAGAGCCTGGAATACATTACTGTGCCAGAAAGTAGGGAAGTACTCAGAGGGTAATGGCATGTCGAAACACAGAAGCCAGCTTTAAGAAAACACACAATCAGCCAGGTGCAGTGGGCTCACGCCTGTAATCCCAGCACTTTGGGAGGCCGAGGCAGGCGGATCATTTGAGCTCAGGAGTTCGGGACCAGCCTGGCCAATATGGTGAAACCCTGTCTCTACTAAAAAAAAGAAAACACACAATCACAGAACTCGGGACAATTCCAACATCAAAGTAATGATGGTAAGGGATTATGTACCATCGAATAAAATAGGAATCAAAGACCATACAGATACGACTAATAAATGGGGGGAAAAAGAGTAAGAATACAGGACAATGTTAACTAATAAAGTAGAAGGAATTTGAAAATCACCACTTGGAAACCATTACAGTAGGCAAGAAACAATAATACTAAAAAGAATGGGCCAAACTTTGATGAGAAATAGGATATTTACGAAGGCTCAAAATATCTCCCTATAAAATATTTATCCAATACAAAGGGACAAAGAGTAACTTTCCAGGGGAGACTGGCTGACACCACCTGCCTCAGGGTCCAAGTGACCACCACCAATGATGGGACAAATTGACACCCTGTGTCACCTTATGGGGTGCAGCTAGAAGGGCACAACAGCACTTCTGTTTCCTCCAAACACGCATACCAAGGGTAGTAATGAGGAAACACCAAACATACATTGAGGGACATTTTATAAGACAACTATCCTACAGTCTTCAAAAAATGTTAAGGTCATAAAGATCAAGGAGGGAGAGGGACTGAGAAAGTGAACTGGAGATTCATTAAACGCAGTTAAACACAGTGTGTTAACCTGGATCAGGCCCTTTTGCTTGGAGGACAATGTTGGTACAAGTGTAAAATTTTATAAGGTTCTCTAAGGTGGTGGTGGGGTATGTGGGAGCTCTGGTGCTGCTCCTGCAACTTTTTCTGCAAGTGTGAAATTGTGTAAGTATGAAGAAACTGCCAGTGCTCTTTGCAAAAATGCAAATATGGTATAAAAATTATAAAACCATCTTGAATTACAACACTTAAAGATATGACTGAAAATATTTTACAATTAAGTAGTAACAAACTGGTTAAAAAGCAGTTTAACTTTGCAAGTTCCTTAGAATCGAAGACAATATAAAAATTATAGTCAAAATGCTGTTAAGCAGAAGCAGACCTAATTGACAGCTCCCTATACAAAAAATAACAACAAAAAAACGCCTACAATGAACTTAAATGTTAAGCTGCAAGAATCACTCCAGGGTCCATAAAATCATTCAATAAACAAAAAACTGAACCCTCAAGCTGTTCTAAGACATAGTCCCACCACCAAATATTCTCAACAAAATTTCAATGAATTTTGAAGCAATATTATTGTGCTCAAATCTGCTATTGTGTGCAAACAAAACCCATATGGCTTGTACAATTGTGCAGCCAAACAAAAGCAGTTTTAAAACAATTTTGGACTTACAGAGGTGGAAGCTGTCAACATCCAAATCCAGTTATCCATATAAAACATCCCAAGAGCCTGAGGTGGCAACCCAATCGGCAGTTGCAGTCCTGGTCAGCACACTGAAGTGTGGAGGGCCATTTACAGCTGAGAAGCCTGTGATGGTTTTGTGTCAACCTGATTGGGTGAAGGGATACCTAGATAGCTGGTAAAATGGTATTTCTGGTGTGTAGGTGAGGGTGTTTCCAGAAGAGTTTAGCATTTCAATCAGTAGACCAGAGTACATCTACTGGATGATGCCCACCCTCACCAATGCAGGTGGGTGTCATCCATTCTGTTGAAGGCCCAAACGAAAAGGCAGAGGAAGAGTCAATTTGCTCTTGAGCTGGAACGTCCACTTTCTCCTTTTCTGGGTACCATGGGCCTTACACCAGTGCAACTGACCCCACCCTTGGCCATCTCAGGCCTCTGATCTTACTGAACTACACCAGTTCCTCTCCTGGTTCTCCAGCTTGCAGACAGCATACTGTAGAACTGCTAGGTCTCCATAATCAGATGAGTCTACTTCCATAATAAATCTCCGTTTGTTTTTTTCTGGAGAACCATGACTTACGCAAAGCTCATCTAGAAAGCTAACAGATATGTAGGAGAGAGCTTCCGGATCTTTTCAACACGATAAACACGGCACTTGTATAACACGCTGGGAAAACAGATGAGGTTGCCTGGGGCTAGAGCCCAGGTTCCCCAGCTGCCTTGAAGACGACCTCATGGGCTGAGGAAAATCACCATCTCTAAACATCTACACCTATCGCAAGCCGAGTTAGGAAGCTCTGGAATAGGAAGATGAGGAGTGCGTTAAGTCAAAGGCAACAAGAATGGAAAATTAAGTATGACTAAGACATGAAGCAGAAGTCTGGGATGACTGTTTTCTAATTTGTGCTCGTGGAAGACAATTAGGTTAGATCTGTAAAGGATCCATTACTATTAAAATGGCCACTGTCACAGTACATCAAGTTCAATGGCAGAGACCATGTTGGTATCCGAAGCACCATACCACACATGAAGCAAACTTGTCGTCCATTTCTTTGGTCCTCCCAGCCTCCTCTCCACAGTGAAAACCCTACATGAGGTACCACTGCTTTCTAAATCTAACTTCATCCCAGTGAAGGCTCTTTACAACCAACTTGTAACTGTTCTTGCAGTTCCCCAAATGTTACTGACAATGCAGTATCTTTTTCCTAGCAAGTCCAAGCCTTCACTCAGACTCATCACTCCCCTTTCCATCCTCCCATCCACAAAGTACACAGTTCTGGAAGCTACCCACCCACCCACCAAAACAGGTCCAATTGCTGCAACTTCTCCCTCTAAGGTTCCACCCACTCTCTTCTTCCAGCTGCAGTTAAGATGCTTCCTCCAGTTGCCCCAACTCCAATCCCAGGGCATAAGAATTTCCAGATGCTTTCATCGGGCTTTTGTTTTCTGGTTGACTTGTCACACTTTGCCAGGTGCTTTTGACAACGTGGTGATGGACTTCATTATCCTAATGTAAGAATAAGAAACAGTGTAGCAACATCCAAGAGTAACTTAGACACCACTAGGCCAGCACACCAGGCTCACAATGTTCCTTTTCTTTGTGAGTGGATAATAGGGGTTATATCACTCCTCTGGAAAGATCTGTGACAGTCACATGGAAGCCAGACTACAGCTAAGACCTGAAGTCAAGAGTCCAAGAATGTCAGGAGAGGAATTAAAAAGCATCATATAACTTAGGGTAGACTAGTCAGTTTTCAACAGGGGTACCAAACCTTTGCTGTAAAGGGCCAGATAGTGATTATTTAGGCTTTGCAGGCCACAGTCTGCTGCAGCTATCCAACAGCAAACTTCTGTAGCACAAAAGTAGCTATAGACAATATGTAAACAAATGAGGATGGCTGTGTTTCAATAACACTTTTAAGGACACTGAAATGTAAGTTGAAACTTTTGAGGTGATAAAAAACATATACAATTGAAACCATTTAAAAATGTAAAGATCACTCTTAGTTCATGGACCACATAACAGGTATATGCCAGATTTGGCTCATGAAGCTGTAGTTTGCCAGCCCTTGGCTTAGGGGGAAAAAATGGGGAAAATGGATGGGGGAGGCCAACTGAACTTCATGGCTGGAGAATCCACCAGAACTGACTGGGTCAGGAACACTCATTCCCTCCAATTGCTTACTTTCGGTAGAACATTTTGCAGCAGGCTTTGGCTGGCTGCTTCAGACAAGTATGGAACAATGGAAATTTTATGCATTCCCTAGAAGACCTCACTAACCTTAACATCCCAGCAAGTATCCCATCTCTGTGTTGAGAAAAGAACCAGGAGACCCAATAAAGTCAATCTAGTGCCTGGGCCTCCTATATGATACACTCACCAATTACTGAAGTAAAAAGAAGTATCAGTGACAGAAGCATTGTCAACTTTCAATTCTGATTCTACGTGACAGAATCATTTAAAAAATGAGAAGTGCAATGTTGGATGTATTGAAAATATTTTATAATCAATTCTCTAGAATCCTAGCCATCCAGTACAGGAAAAAATTATATTGGAACACTTCCGTATTTTTAAACAATGAAAAAAAATTTGACTAGAGGATGGCATAAGAAATTTACAAATACAAACTTAGGCTTCCTCACATTTCCCACAGAGCAACTAAACGAGAAAAAGATTTCAAGAAATGACAGTATACCTCGAATGCAAAATTCCAAAGTCAAATAGCTACTTACATTAAGAGATTTACCAAAACAGTTTGTAAATTAAACATTAACAGCAAAAGGCACAAAAAGCCTATTTCTTTTATGGTGTCTCGGCTGATTCTTTAAGAAGCAGATAAACAAGGTACTGTATGGAACGATCAAAACTTGGCCTGAGCTGTCTTCTGATAATTAATCCTAGTATATCCAGATTTGTTGTCCAAGGACACAAGCTCCATGCCACCTTCTGCTGTCACTTTCCAAGAAGAGGCTGTTTTTTTTTTTTGTTTCCAGTTTTCACTATGATCTGAGTAGACAGAGAATGTCATAAAATAAATGAGAGTATTCCATTATCCGATCAGAAATGCCACCTCTTTTCCCAACTCATTGCTCTGACTTGAAAGATGAACGTATATATGAATTCTCATTTTATTCTCCTGAGAAATTATGCATGATCCATTATAAAACATACAGGTAATACAAAGTCCAAAAGCCTGTCATGTTTATGGCAGTGGTGTGATCTCAGCTCACGGCAACCTTCACTTCCCGGGTTCAAGCAATTCTCATGCCTCAGCCTCCCAAGTAGCTGGGACCACAGGCGTGCGCCACCATGCCTGGCTATTTTTTGTATTTTTAGTATAGACGGGGTTTCGCCATGACGGTCAGGCTGGTCTCAATCTCCTGGCCTCAAGTGATCTGCCCACCTCGGCCTCCCAAAGTGCTGGGATTATAGGCATGAGCCACCATACCCAGCCAGTTTCATTTATTTTCATAATAGGTTATGAGTACGTGATGTAAATGCTTAAAAGTCATCATCACCATACTGTGCTAAAGATATTGAGAAATTATGCAGAGAAATCTGTGCAAATTCATCTTCTTAGTATCAGATGGTTAAAAAAAAGGAAACAAAAAACAAAAGCAATCCAAATTATTTCTTTAAATACTCTTATTTATACTCAGGAAAACAGATTTGAAAAACTGAACAAGTAGACATCTGCCCCGTTTATGATTAAATAACAATGCCAATGAAGGAGATTCCACAGAAAAAACTGAGATGAAAAAATCCAAATAAAAGCCAACACTGCTATTAAGATTTTTCTTTTAATATGCCATGAGATATCTTGATTGTATATTTTCCAAAGTACTTTCCAGCCACATCTCCCAACCCATCCAAAAGACTTTGCCAGTCTTTCCAATGCAATAAAAGATGCTGGATTATAGTTTTGTCTACCATTTCTTTTTGAAAGCAATATTATACTAATGACTTTAATGGTAATACACTCTTATCTAATAAAGAAACACATTTACAAATATCAGAAACCCAGTTTTGAAACATTTGCATTAATTTTGAACTGAATCAGCATTTTGTGGGTTTTTTAAAAGGCAGCAGTTTGACTCACGACTTGCTGATAAACACGTTTCTGCTGAGGGAAGGGGAAAAGACAGGGAGAGTGAATGCTGCATTTCTCCATTGGCCCCAAAAGTGCTAATTTCACAAAGGGATACATCAAAAGCAAACATGCAATGGTTGTTTTAAAACTTTTACTGCAATATAACAATGAAGTAAACAGTAATTAGACACCTACCAATTTTTTCCCCAAAACAAAAAAAAAATGTAAACAGGAAAATAACTCTGCCTATACTTGTACAGCTTCTCAAATCATGTTAGAAGGGTCTCACATTCAATGATCAAGAAATTTTAAAATAGCAGTAATTATTTTCATTTTAAGAAAAGGTTCCCTTTCTCCCCTCCCACCCCAAGTATTTAACATGAAAGAATGGGCTTCCTTACATATTAATTTTATACTTATTTTTGAAGCAGCAACAATTAACCATCAATTTGGCATTTCTGTTTACAGTCGCTACAAAAATTTTTTAAATTTCACAAAGCCATTATCCAGTGTTGCCATGAAACAGAGACTGTAAATTCTAGGTAGCTAAGATTCTTTCTGAAACCAATGTTAAGTCAAAGAAATATAAAGCAGGGCATTACACTAAGTTTCTGGATCTAGTACACTAAAAAGAGTGAAACCTAGGAAAAGTTACCTACTGTTTTACAGAAGAAATAAAGACCTGCAAAAGCTGATTTTTGGTTGTATATATTTTACACACTGTGTGGAGTTGCGGCATCTGCTAATTGAAGCAGACATGCACTGTATTTATCCCTGCCCTGTATCCTAGATCCCTCCCTCCCCACCCCCAACAATCTACTACCTTATACCAAGTATTGTGGATATGAGCCCAAGTCATCCCAGACAATCCAGTGAACAAGTTAGTGTAATGCACTGGTGTGAAGTGTGAGATATAAAAAAGTCCCTTTCAATCTTCATCAAAGTTCTGCTGTAGAAGAAAATTGGCAGCCAAATTCTCATTCTTCTCACAAGCAAAATACGCTTGTATCACAAGTCCTTCAGGAAATCCTAATGCCTTTAACTGGAAGAAAAAGGAAAAAAATATAAATCCAACACACCAATTATGGCACATTTAATTTTATTTACATATTATAGATTCCAGCATAGCACTAAAGATAAATCATTACTCAAAAACATACTGCAACCCAAAAAAGCTCTTGAGAATTTTACATGAATTCATCTCTATCAATATGGATTTACTGCCCAACCCAAGGGATTAGATGGAATCTAGACCCTTTCCTTTACTAATCACCTAAAAAAGTCTTTGTTTCTAGTTAAAGCTTAATAGATACTATGCAAATACTCTTTGGCCTAATTAAAAATTAGCTGCTAACTGCTATGGTTTAAAAATAAATGACTCTACAGAAATATGTAAATCAAATGGCTTTTAGTATATTAAGAGTGAAGATAAGGATGAGAGTACCTGCAGTATAGTTTAACCACCTCACCTATTTCTAAATTAAAAGCAAATTATGTTTTATTTATTAATGTCAACTCATGTCTTTCATTTGGATCAAACATCACTCTCAATCTCCTTGCTTTATTCAACACTCCATACTAGAAAAACAGGTGACCAATTATTAGTAATACATGGTACATTTTGAAGATAATGTTCTATTTTTATCTGCTTAACAGTTACAGCATTTTAAATGGTAATACCAGCTACTTAATTTCATTTTCCTAGTCTATTATATTAAAAATCACTTGTGACAATACTCACTCCTTTTAAAAGCCTTTAAAAACTCAGCCAAATGTCACCCTCCTCAATTGTCTCAATCACCTTGAGTTAGATCACAGGTCCCAAACCCCAAGACCGTGAACTGGCACCAGCCATTGGCCTGTTAGGAACTGGGCTGCCCAGGAGCAGGTGAGCAGTGGGTGAGCAAGGAACTGGGCCGCACGGGAGGAGGTGAGCAGTGGGCGAACAAGTGAAGCTTCATCTGTATTTACAGCCACTCCCCATCACTCGAATTACCACCTGAGCTCCGTCTCCTGTTGTATCAGTGGCGGCATTAGATTCTCATATGAGCATGAACCCTACTGTGAACTGTGCATGAGAGGGATCTAGGGTCTGTGCTCCGTATGATAGCCTAACAAATGCCTGATGATGTGAGATGAAACAGTTTCATCCCAAAACCACCGCCCCACCCCACTTCCTAACCTAACTAACGCCTGATGATCGGAGGTGGAACAGTTTCATCCCAAAATCACTGCGCCCACCCCACCTATGTTGGTAGAAAAAAAGGTCTTCTACGTAACTGGTCCCTGGTGCCAAAAAGGTTAAAGACTGCTGTGTCAGATTATATTTGGAAATAACCCTTAAAATTTGGGCAAAAATCCCAATTCATCACGAATAACTATTCATCTATGAAAGCAGAAGAAACTAAAAAATCAGTTTGTTATCTGGGTTTTATCCAGATTAAAGCTAGGATAGGTGAAGTAAAGGGTACAATCCAACTGCCTGCTTCTACAAAACACACAATTTAGATTCAAAGACACAAGTAGGTTGAAAGTAAAATGATAGAAAAAGGTATATACTATGCAAATGGTAACCAAAAAAGAGCTAGAATGGCTATATCAGAGGAAACAGATTTAAGATAAAAATTGTTACTATAGACAAAAGGCATTTTATGATAAAAAGGGTTCAGGAAGACACAACAATTATATATAACAGAGCCACAAAATACATAAAATAAAAACTGAGAATTAAAGGTAGAAATTGGCAATTAACAATAATAGAGACAACTACAGCTCCACCTTCAATAATAGATAAAACAGCTAAGGAAGAAGACTTGACTACAAACTAGATCTATCAGATATTTATAGACCACTTAATAAGAACTACACTATATTCTTCTTCAGTATACATAGAACATTCTTCAGAAATACCATGTTAGGCCACAAAACGAACCTCAATAAGTTGAAAAGTATTGAAAGTATATTCTCTGATTATAATGGAATGAATTTAGAAATCGAAAGGAGAAAATGTGGGAAATTCATAAACTTGTGGAAATTAACACAATCCTAAATAACGAATGAATTAAATTAGAAACCAAATGGGAAATTAAAAAACATTTTGAGATGAAAGAAAGCAAAAATACAACATACTAAAACTTATGGGATGCTACTATAGCATAAACGCAGAAGGAATATTATAGCTATAAACATCTATGCTAACAAAGATAGATAATAATTTAATCTTAAACTAAAACTAAACAAAGAACTAAACTAAACCTAACCTAAAAAAGGAAGAACAAACTAGAAGCAAGCAAGAGGGAAATAAACATTAGAGAGACTTAAAACAAAACAAAACAAAAGACTAGAAAAACAATAGGGAGAATCAACAAAACCCAAAGTTATTTTTGTCATTAACAACAACCACCACAAAATGAACAAAATTAAAACCTTTAGCTAAACTGAAGGGAAAAAACAAAAATATCTTAGGACTCAAATGACTGAAATCAGGAATAAATGCAGGAACATTATTACTTTATCAAAAGAGGAAATAAAATGATTATAAGGAAATATGTACAATTGCACGCCAACAAATTAGACAGCTTAGATAAAATAGACAAATTCCAAGTCAAAAACCACCAAAACTGACTCTAAAAGAAATAGAAAAGTTGGCCGGGTGCAGTGGCTCACGCCTGTAATCCCAGCACTTTAGGAGGCCGAGGCGGGTGGATCACGAAGTCATGAGATCGAGACCATCCCTGGCTAACATGTTGAAACCCCGTCTCTACTAAAAAAATACAAAACAAAATTAGCCGGGCATGGTGGCGGGTGCCTGTGGTCCCAGCTACTCGGGAGGCTGAGGCAGGAGAATGGTGTGAACCCAGGAGGTGGAGCTTGCAATGAGCGGAGATCACGCCACTGCAATCCAGCCTGGGCAACAGAGCGAGACTCTGTCTCAAAAAAAAAAAAAAAAAAAAAAAAGAAATACAAAAGTTGAATAGACAAGTAACAAGAGACTGAATCAATAATCACAAAACTTCCCCCCAAAAAAAGCCCAGGACCAGACTACTGGTGAATTCTATCAACTATTCAAAAAATTCACACCAATTCTTTTTTTTTTTTTTTTTTGAGACAGAGTCTCGCTCTGTGGCCCAGGCGGGAGTGCAGTGGCGCAATCTCGGCTCACTGCAAGCTCCGCCTCCCGGGTTCACGCCATTCTCCTGCCTCAGTCTCCCGAGTAGCTGGGACTACAGGCGCCCACCATCACGCCTGGCTAATTTTTTTTGTATTTTTAGTAGAGACGGGGTTTCACCGTGTTAGCCCACACCAATTCTTAATAAATACTTCCAGACAACAGGAGAGAATAATTCCCAACTCACCCTAAGAGGCCAGTATTACCCAGACACCAAATTCAGACAAAAACATCACAAAAAAACTACAGACCAATATGACTTATGAACAGATGCAAAAATCCTCAACAAAATACAAGCAGGCTAAATCCAGCAACATATAAAAAAGATCATATGCTGTAACCAGTAAAATTTATCTCAGAAATGCAAGGTTGGTTCAACATACAAAATCAATCAATGTAATAAAGCATACTAAAGGACAAAAATCACATGATCATCTTAATAAAGAAAGAAAAAAAATTTGACAAAATCCAACACCTTTTCGTGATGAACAAACTAGTAACAGAAGAGAATTTCTTCAATCTGATAAAGGGCATCCACAAAAAACCCATAGATAATATCATACTTAGTGATGAAAGACTGAATGCTTTCCCTTAAGATCAAGAACCAGACAAGGATGTTGTTGGTTCTTGCTAGTCTAATAATATACTGGAGGCTCCAGATAGGGCAGTTAAATAAGACAAAGAAATAAAAGGTATCCATATTGGAAAAGAAGTAAAACTGTCTCCATGTGCAGATGACATGACCTTGTATATGGAAAATCCTAATGAACACATGCACAAACTACTTAATGAATAAATAACAGTTCAAGAAGGTTTTATGATAAAAGATCAATATACACAATTAAATTGTATTTTTATATAGTTAGCAATGAACAGTCTGAAAATGAAATTAAGAGAAAAATCCATTTATAACAGCATCAAAAAGAATAAAAATACTTCGAAATAATTTTAACAAAAGTATTACACAACTTCTACACTGAAAACTACAGGACACTATTGAAAGAAATTATAGAAAAACCTTATTATTAATATGTGACTTCTGAGCATTTGAAATGGGGCTAGTGTGACTAAGGAATTTTTTTTTTTTTTTTTTTTTTTTTTTTGAGACAGAGTCTCACTCTGTTGCCCAGGCTGGAGTGCAGTGGCACAATCTCGGCTCACAGCAACCTCCACCTCCCAGGTCCAAGCAATTCTCCTGCCTCAGCCTCCCAAGTAGCTGAGATTACAGGTATGTGCCACCACGCCAGCTAATTTTTGTATTTTTAGTAGAGATGGGGTTTCACCACGTTGGCCAGGCTGGTCTTGAACTCCTGACCTCAGGTGATCCACCTGCCTTGGCCTCCCAAAGTGCTGGAATTACAGGCATGAGCCCAGCCAAGAACTAATTTTTTTAAAGTTTTACTTAAACTCACCCTTTCTATAGCTTCTTTTTCCTGAGGTGTTACTTGAATGTAGTTCATATGACCACTTCCAGCTTCTGCAATTCCTCCACTGCCACCTCCACCTCCTCCTCCTTGACCACCAGCTTCTTGAACTGGTTCATTTAACATCTGAATAAAATGCTCCTGGTGTTGGCTAATTTGCTGTGGTGATATGAAGGACAGAGAAAAATAATACACTGATATTAAGTATCTGCAGGAACAGAGAAATTCTAAATATTACTAAGAGAAAAGGCTACACTTTTGCAAACGTAATTTAGTGATTCTGGATTATTCAGTCTTTGGAAGGATGTGATTTCTTATACAATAGTAAAGAAATTCAGTACTTTTGGGCAAAGTAAACAGTGAAGAAATTCAAATTCTTAAGTGCTCTGAGCCTCCTGTGCTTAAAAAAACAAAACAAACAAAAAACAAACAAAAAAAACTACTGTGGGACTATAAGAATAGAACTTATTCTTAATACTTGCATGTATTTTTTACCTTCCACACTAGTGGGCATTAAAATGCTGTATAAAATTCAAATACTTGGTGATCTGATCACTAAAGAAGCCCCACAGCTATTTTTTCTAAGAGTAAGTTGTTCCTGTTGCTTAAAAGTTCCTAAGAAAAAGGAACTGAGTAATAAGCTTGTGAAAAGTGATTTAAAGTTAGGCAGTTTCTCTGTTAAACAGCTTCCCAAATTCTTTAACATATTAATGTGTAGTGGGAATCTCCAAAAAGGAAATATAAAATGTTTCCCAAACTTACTACTATTTGGTCAACTTAATTTAACCCAACCTCCATATCCCAACTGTTTTTTTAGTACACCTATCTAGATTACAATATCTAAGTGTAGCTTGGAAGAAAACATTCACATTCTCAAATACAGAGTTGTATTTGAGGAGGGGAAGGACCGTTCATGGACTTTTTCAAATTGTGACACACTCTAAATCACTTGTGAAACTGACACTGATTAGTCACCTGAAGTAATTGAGGATTCTCTCGACCTATCTGCTGTAGTAACGCTGGAAGCAAGGAAGGATTCTGCTGAATAATTTGTCTCATCTGTTGAAACTGAGGCTGATTCCGTAAAAATTCAAGGGGATGTCCTAAAATACACATAAACATTTCTAAACAAAAGCAGTAAATACATACACAAACAGTGGTTAAATAATACATTTAGACAGCAAACACTATCAAAGAAAAAATGATTTGAGTTCTCAGATGTAATAAAATGAAGTAAATAATGATGAAATCTTCCAACTGTACCAACTTGCAAGTTTTATACGGCAAAAATTACTCCTATTAGCAAAGGCAGGGAGTGCAGAACGCTGACTGTAATATGAACCAAACTTTCCTATAATTGCCCTTGGCACTCAACGTTATAAAATAATACTAGAAACTTGTCTCCTGTGTGTGTTCTATCAAAATAAAAAGTACTAAAAGTTGTTCCTGTTGCTTAAAAGTTCCTAAGAAAAATATACACCACAACAAAAACAAAAACTCACTTACTTTATAAACAATGAAAACCCCTAAAAGAACACAATCTGAGCTTGAATTCCTAGGAATTCAAGAAACCAAAGAAGAAAAAGATATTTAAAGTCTGAGGTCAGGTTTTGCAAATCAGGAGAAACTTTAATCCAAACTTACATTAAGGAAGACTTCCGGTTATTACCATTAATTTTCAAACATTTGTGAACTACAAAAACTCGGATAAATAAGCTGTATGGCAATCTAGTACTAATATATCTAAACTCTTCAGTCTAAAATCCATTCACAATAATAAATGTTAATAATGCCAAATAAAATATAAAATACAGAACTTCTGGCTTTTTCAGGGTGCTGGTACTTGTCTGGTTATGCTATAGGAAACCAAAAATCGTACATACAGGAATTGTTTTTGAGGTTACTAATGAATAAAAGAGAATTTTTAGATGTATGTTGTAATTTCCTATTCAGGAAGACAATCATTCCAATTGAAATGACCACAGCACATGGGTTTTTTGTTCTTCCATATATAATACCAGCTTTACAGGTGAAGGCAACGAGACTTAGAGACTATGTCACCTAATAAGTGCTGAAAGGAACAGGACCCCAAATCCAAAGCAGAGCTGTGGTCATCTCTTTCCACTCCCATATGCTGAATCACAACAAACAAAGGGCCTGTCCTTGGGAGACTGTACACAAAGCACTGAGTGACCTTTGTCAACCAGAGGTGACTATCATTATCAGAGCTAGGAAATGCATGGAAGAATGGCCTTTTCAAGATCAACAGTTTAAATTACTTTATTAATATACAGAAGAACGAACGAAGGAGAACACTGCGTAATTCCTAAGCTGACCGCAGGTTCCAGGCTTTGCTCTGTAGTCAGACCTATAGCAATGTGTGGGGTATGGTCAGCACCCCAGTAAAGAGACTTCAATTCAAGCTTTGCTTTCTCCTCTAGATACAAGGTTTTAAACCTCTCACGGTTTCATTTCCTTGGCTGTATAATTACTAAAATCCTGCTGGCTTTGAAATTACATACACTTTGTAACATTTATGGAGAGAGTAAGAGACAAAGTGAGCAAACCATTCTGAATGGCATCAGAAAGTAACACTAAATACAAACTGGAAAGCATCTTTTCCTTAAAACAAATAAAACAGAATATGCCCTTCGGCAAAACTGCAACACTGATGTTTAATATCAGCAAGGATACCTTTTACATCCACTTGGGAAAGTTTCTTTTGGGCCTTTCTCAAACATTAGTGAAGAGAGAACTTAACGAATTATTCGACTGCTCTGGGAATGAACGTCATTTCTGAAGTATTTCAGGTTAAATTATTTTACACTAAAAATTCAGGGCCATTCCCTCCCCATCCAGAAGATTCCGCTTTACCTCCAGAACTTGTTGTTGTAGTTGTTGCTGTCGTAGTTGCTGCAGCTGCAGCCACTGCTGAAGACTGAGGAGCCCCAGTACTAGCTGCTTGAGGGGGGTCAACCACAGCCTGACTTTCTCTATCTCCAGGGATTCCCTGTAATAGAATTTCCAAGCTTTAAGATATCCCATCATGCAAAATTAAATATTATACAGAGTAAAAGATTTATAGTCTATTTAACATCTTGTTTGATTTTCAAAAGCATCAAACAGATGTCTGCTTCAATTAAAAGTAAAGGATTATTAAGCTGCATGGATTCAAATTAGATTAGAAATGACCTGGGTGCATTATAGAAAAACCCACATTGCTATAATAATGCAAAGCAGCACTGTCCAACAGAACTTACCATGATGATGGAAATATTCTCTGTGTTGTTCAATAAGACACCTACCAGGCACACGTAATTAGCATCAAATTTGAAAAATATTGATACATGTACCTTCTTAAAACTGAACACAACCAAAGGTTTTTGTGCTACCTATTAGTTCAGTTGACTTTTTAACTTCTTAGAAATCTTTATCAGCTGTTACTCAGTGATAAAAAGGATTGAGTTTGCAACTCTAGCTTAAGATAATCCAAAAAGAGGTTTTGATGCACACTTGACAGTTCTGAAATGACTCCTGGGGGAAAAAATATCTAATGGATACAGACCAGGTACACAGTGGCCAGGCAGGAGGATCTCCCCTACTGATCCATGGTACTGAGAAAGTGTCACTCAGAAAGTATCTCATAAATTTGAGGTACTTTTCAGTGAAGTGTTTCTTAAAGTGTCAAAGTATCTCATAAATGAGATACTTAAAGTATCTCATAAATGAGATACTTAAAGTATCTCAAAAAATGAGATAAAGTATCTCAAAAAATTTAATTTTTCAAAATTCATAAAATCGATATAAAAGAAATTGAAACCATTTAGTTTTTAGGTGATGCCTTTTGTAAGTTTATAGTACTTATCTTTTAAAGTTATTAAGAGCTTAAAACTGCATGCACTAAACTCTTTTGGGACACCTATTTTGATGCACATGATTGATAGACTTGTCATTTAAAATTTTTAAAAAGTCTTTATCAAGTTCTTATAGATTTTGAAGAGAATAAAGAACCAAGTATTACAATTGAATAAGATGATAAATGCTTCCATTCCCTAATAAACCAGAAGCCAAAAGCAACAACATATAAAGGATGAAGAGTAACACAGCAGGAAAATGGCTGCATGGATTAGATGTCACTCCAGGCATTAAAACCAATGTTTTTGAATGAGTTAACCAACGCAAACCCTTAACTCAGATGGGCAGTTATTTAAGTGCTAACAAACTACATACAAATTTAGGATCCAGGGCGTCCATCAAATTCTCTTTTATTAAACTAAAAAGTTCATCTTTATTGCTATAGATCGACCTCTATTCTCACACATTACATAGCCTCTTATATAAATGCTCAACATTTCTTCTTTCCATCCGTTCACCTTAACCTATCTCTTAACTAGTAACAGTTAAAAGCAACTTTTCCCCTTCAGTCTATGAAACAAAGAGCAAATATATAAAAAACATTTTAGTTATAAATTGTTTTTGATGAACTCATGTATCATCTATTTATTTGCATTTGATGCTCTACAGCAGTTTTAGCATTTGGTAACAATGATTCTGTATTTTTATACCTCAAAACTCCACATCTATTAGATCAAAATAACTGATACTGTTGAACTTATACAGAATTCTAAATCAGGTGTAAATGAAAGCCACTCCATAAAAGCTAATACTTTTATACAATCTGTTTAGGGTACACACTCCTCACCAAACAAATTCACAACAATTATTAATTCCACAATTCCAAACAAACTGGATAAACTGCCAGCATTTAAAGACACTACTCAAGAAGATAATGAAAAAGTGAATTTAAAAAGATAAAATAATATGCTAAGAAAAAGGTTTTGTGAACTTCACATGCAAAGGCATAGGCAAATAAATGGTGGAGGCAGAGTACAGTTATGAGGCTTATAACTGACTCTTCTGAAACTAGCTAGCTACCTGAAAGGAGTTTTTAACAGAAGTACAACCTAGACACAAAGGAATGGGTTAAACTGTGGATGTAATTCCCAAAAGGGTTAGAATCAGGCAACTTTAAGATGATATTTAGGGCAATTCAGACTTTGATAATACTCCAAAACACCAGACAATTATAGAAGTCTGAGATTTTAAAAAACTTAATTCAATTACTTTAGCCTGTGTCACATCTGTAAAACTAGCAGACTTTCATCTTAATACCAAGGGTTTCAGTTGATGTCCACAACAACCTATTTCTCAAAAACTCCCATTACCAGTAAAAAAAAGAATACTTTATTCAAAAAGTCCCTCAACTCCTACTGACTATAAAAACAAATTCAAATGCCAACGGAACCAGGTAGTAACATCATTCATTAAATGCATGATGTTACGTTGGTAACAGAGTGAATCAGAGGATAATGAATTAGATTCCACGATCTAAAATATTTTCCTTAATCCCTTGCAAAAATCTGGGATCAAAGTTGTCCAGTTAAACCAGAAATCTGTACTTTTATGTGAAATTTCCCAGTTTTTAAAAAGCTGGCAACTTATTACAGAAATATACACAGTATAAGCAAAAGAATTTGGCCCGGATTCTCAAGCTTGAAATTTTGGCCAGGCACGGTGGCTCACACCTGTAATCCCAGCACTTTGGGAGGCTGAGGCGGGCGGATCACGAGGTCAGGAGATCAAGACCATCCTGGCTAACATGGTGAAATCCCATCTTACTAAAAATACAAAAAAATTAGCCGAGCATGGTGGCAGGCGCCTGTGGTCCCAGCTACTTAGGAGGCTGAGGCAGGAGAAAGGCGTGAACCTGGGAGGTGGAGCTTGTGGTGAGCAGAGATCATGCCACTGCACTCCAGTCTGGGCGACAGAGCGAGACTCCGTCTCAAAAAAAAAAAAAAAAAAAAGAAAAAAGAAATTTTTGTTCTGAATAATTCACGCATAGTGGCACCTAAAAAGCTACTACAATGTTGGACCATTAGATTAAAAAAGGTTACATTTTATTAACACAAAATACAAACATACTAGAAAAAAAAAAGCATTATGTATATCATCTAGCATATATCAGTGACAAGTGAACTGGTCCTTTAAAATCTGTTTCTTTGAGATTTTAATCTTAAACAACAGAATGGAGTAAAGTAAAACATATTTCTCACCATTAAAAGATACTCCACTGCTCTGTCAGGGTTGTTGAAACTGGCTCTCAGGGCTGCAATTACTTGCTCTCGTTCATAGCCCATTGACATGATCTCAGTTACCATATTCTCGTAAGACTGACCCGTCACTAAAAAGGGAGGGTGGAGGGGAAAAAAAGGAACATTTAATAAATAAGCATTCTCTATACATTTATTGATTCATGTATACAACATTTCAGGAACTACTATGCTGGGAATACAAAGATGAGTAACAGTATAAATTACAACATATATGTAGTAGGTAATGGTCCCCCAAAGATGCCCTCTGGTTTGATCCCTGGAACCTATAAATAGGTTACAAGGCAAAGGGAAATTGCGGTTATAGATAAAATTAAGGTTGCTAATCAGCTGACTTTAAGACAGAGACCTCATTCTGGATTATCCAGGTGGGTCCAGTGTAATGACATGAATCCTTAATAGTAGTAGGAGGAGGCAGATGAGAGGGTCAGAGAAACAGGTGTGAGGAGGAGGAGACAAAACCAGGATGAGAGATGTTATGCTGTTGCCTTTGAAGATGCAGAAAGGGGCTACCAGCCAAGGTATGGTAGGACAGGATCAGGAAAAAAATTCTTCCCCGGAGTCTCCAAAAAGGAATGCCGGCTCCCTGATTTTAGTACAGTGAGCCCTGTGTCACACTTCTAACCTACAGTACTAGAAGACAGTTAATCTGTGTTGTTCTACACCAATAAGTTTGTGGTAACTTACTACAGTAGCAACAGGAAACTCATATAATATGTTTCAGAGTACAATAGAAAAATGAGGTATGAAGGTAAGGGAGAATTAGCAGGAGGTCAGGGAAGGCAACTGGTAAGAAGAGACACCAAATTCTGAAAACATGCTGGGGAAGGGATGGTATTTCAAACCATCAACTCCGATGGAACAAGTTCACAGTTTCCCTTTGATACCTTATATAACTGAAACGGGGGAAAGAGAGGTTAGGAGCTAGAAAGTTAAAATCTTGTACACTATACAAAGTTGGTAAAATGCCCAAAGCGCTAATATTCCAAGTCACTTCTTACAGACTCCTATGCTCCCTCCTCTCAATACAGACAACACTCTGAATAAATGAAACCTATTTTCCTCATAAACTTACCTCACTTAAAACTATCCTTTCTTCTGCTTGTGTTCTGGGGACCATTACCTTTATTGTTGCCTCACACTCAAACCAAACTGGATTTGGTTATCCTCCCTCTTCTCCACCAACATCTTTACCCCTCTGTGTAATTATCCTGGGTCAGTAGTTAACTATGTCCTATATTTCACTCTAAAACAAAAACACACCTCCCACCTTTGACTTCATCCTAATTCCTCTTTGAGGAACCATCTGCTGTCTTCTCATCACAGCCATAGCTATTGAACATGTGTCCACTTTCTCACATTCCACTCATTCCTCAACTAATTGCAATTCAGATTTCCCTCTCAAATGTGTCCCACCATTGTCTGTCTGCTCTCTTTAAACAAATGGCACCTCTATTTACCTAAGCACTTGGACAAAAACCCTGGTGATTTCAGTTCCTTTTCCTCTTCCTTCCACACCTCACTTACCAGCATACCTGGTAGGTCCTATCTCTAAATTACACCCCAAACCCATCTCTTCATTCTCTACTGTCATCACTGAAGACAAGCCCACAACAGTCTCTAGATGGGATTACACCCTGTTTCCAACTCTTGTCTCCATATCTATAATCTGTTCTTCAGCCAGTTGCAAAAGTCAAGTAAACACACACACACACACACACACACACGCACGCGTGTGCGCAAAACCCCTCATTTTATTTCTGGCTCCCAGCCCTCAACAATCCTCCACCCACCACACTCATCTTCCCGGTGTTACTTCAGCAGGCCACACCTTTTCCTGCCCCAGGGCCTTTACACAACACCAGCCATCTTAGATGGCCAGTTCCTTCAACATGCTTCAGTTCCATATTTAAAAGGCATTGCCTAGTCATCCTAGGTAGCCTTCTGTTTTTTCTTTAGGGAAGCCCTTTGTGTTAATATCACTTATCTTTTTTTTTTTTTAATGTTTCATTATTTTTTTCTTGCCCCAACTGAATGCAAGTTTGACTGTGCAGGAAACCATGTCATTCTGCATGTTTCCCTGATACACAGCTGAAACCGAGTATCTGTTGAATAATTTTTTTCTGCAGAATTTTCAAAAATAAAGGTGTTTAATAGCTAAAAACCCCCAAATATCACAAACAGATTAAGCATTTGATATCTTGCTTAAAATAATGACTTTCCTTTTCCCATCCCATAAAACAATAAATTTTAATTATTTATTTTCTTATCTACTGATATAATTCGAGCACAAAGCAACTCAAGTAGCAATACATGTTCAGTAACCTAATTCCCAGATACAGAAATCAGTATCAATACAAACGAAATTACGAGCTACAAAAAATCAGAACTGCACTATTTTAACATGGTGTTTCTCATTTAGTTCTCTCTCACTACTTCATAAGAAAGGTTTAATTTCAACTCCTTTAAAAGATGAGGAGGGTACAGCTTGGAGAGATTAATAATTTGGTAAAGACTAGGTATGGTGGCTCACGCCTGTAATCCCAGCACTTGGGAGGCCGAGGCGGGCAGATCACGAGATCAGGAGATCGAGACCATCCTGGCCAACATGGTGAAACCCCGCCTCTACTAAAAATACAAAAAAAATTAGCTGGGCATGGTGGCACGTGCCTGTAGTCCCACCTACTCAGGAGGCTGAGGCAGGAGAATTGCTTGAACCCCGGAGGCGGAGATTGCAGTGAGCCAAGATCACGCCACTGCACTCCAGTCTGGCGACAGAGCAAGACTGTCTCCAAAAAAAAAAAAAATTCGTAAAAGTATTAAGTCATGGTGCAGAGATACAAACACAGGCTGACAGTCAAGAGTCTCCACACCTAATCATTACACTATGACTCCTAAAATCATGTTTCCTAGTTAAATTATACAATCTCAAAAAAATACCCATAAGCAATGTGATACTTTTTAGATCTTAAAAGTCCAAAGGCAAATGACTTGTAAAAAGAACTAGAGAGGCCAGCACAGTGGCTCGCACCTGTAATCCCAGCACTCTGGGAGGCCGAGGCAGGCGGATCACCTAAGATCAGGAGTTCGAGACCAGCCTGGCCAACATGGTGAAACCCCGTATCTACTAAAAATACAAAAATTATCTGGGCATGGTGGCAGGCGCCTGTAATCCCAGCTACTTGGAAGGCTGAGGCAGGAGAATTTCTTGAACCTAAGAGGCGGAGGTTGCAGTGAGCTGAGACTGTGCCACTGCACTCCAGCCTGGGTGACAAAGAGAGAGAGTCTCAAAAACAAAACAAAACAAAACAAAAAAAACAAAAACGAGAGAGACTGGCCAAGAAACAGAGTAATGAGGCAAAAGAGGTGGTGATGAAGAACCTTATATATGTCATTCAGAATAAGCTTTGATCAATATTGCCTGACTTCAAATAATACTACCAGGCTATTGTAACCAAAACAGCATGGTACTGGTATAAAAACAGACACATCAATCAATGGAACAGAATAGAGAACCCAGAAATAAAGCTGCATACCTACAACCAAAATGATCTTCAACAAAGTCAACAAAAACATACACCGGGGAAAGGACACCCTATTCAACAAATGGTGCTGGGAAATTGGATAGCCATATTTAGAAGAACGAAACTAGACCCAGACTTCTCATCAAACACAAAAGTCAACTCAAAACAGATTAAAGCCTAAATATTAAGACCTGAAACTACAAAAAAACCTAGAAGAAAACCTAGAAAAACTCTTCTGGACACTGGCTTAGGCAATCTAACAAAGTGCTATTATCCAGAACTTTAAAACATCAAGAAAAAAACAAATAACCCCATTAAAAAGTGGGCAAAAAACATGACTGGCAAAAAACATTCTTCAAAAGAAGACAGACAAGTGGCCAACAAACATGAAAAAATGCTCAACATCACCAATCATCAGAGAAATGCAAATTAAAACCACAATGAGATGCCCCATCTTATACCAGATGTTGGGCAAGGATGTGGAGAAAATAGAATGCTTATACACTGCTGGCGGAAATGTCCATTAGTACATCCTTTATGGAAAACAGTACGGAAATTTCTGAAAGAACTTAAAAACAGAACTATCATTTAATCCAGAAATCCCACTACTATGTATATATACCCAAAGGGAAATAAATCATTATATCAAAAAGATACCTGCACTTGTATGTTAATCACAACATTATTCACAATAGTAAAGATATGGAATCATCAATGGAGGATGAGATAAAGAAAATGTGGTGTGTGTGTGTAATAATACTCACCCATCAAAAAGAATAAAACCATGTCTTTTTTACAGCAACATGGATAGAACTACAGAGGCCACTATCCTAAATGAAATAACTCAGTAACAGTCAAATACCCCATGTCCTCACAAGTGGGAGCTGAACAATAGGCACACATCATATAGAGTGGAATAACAGACACTGGAAACTACAAAAAAGGTGGGGAGTGGAGTGTGGGTTCAAAAACTTCCTGTTTGGTACAATGTTCATTATTCAGGTGATGGCTACACTAAAAGCCCAAACTTCACCACCACATAATATATGCATGTAAGAAATCTGCACTTGTACTCCCTATATACAAATTTTAAAAATTAAAAAGAATAAGCTTTGGACTTATCTTCCAGGTCATGAGGAACTATTAAAAGAATTAACAAAGACCCCATGAGAGTTGCTTTCCACTCTGGTAAGGAAGAGGCAGACCAGGTGGATAAGGATAATGCAAGAGTACAAGTGAAATAAGGACCTGAACTAAGGCAACTAAATGACAGTGAAAACAAATATTCCAGAGACTTTAAGAAACAGAGTCATTAGTAACTGTGGAATGAGGGGAAGAAAGGGAAGGAGGAAGGAAGGAGAAAGGAAGGAAGGAGGAAGGAAGGAGAAAGGAAAGGAGAAAGGAGAGAGGACAGAGGAGAGAGGAGAAAGGAAAAGAAAAGAAACAGACTTACTGGGCCAAAAGAGGCAGAGGGTGGATGAATGAATGATGGTACAAGTAAGAAGTGAACAAGAAAAGAATCAGACTGGGGAATAAAAAATGAGTCAGTTTGAAACCTGAAGTCATGGAGGTTCTAAAGTTTTCTAGTTGACAATGTGAAGATACGAGTTTGGGAGTTCAGAGGGAGATCTGTACTGCAGCTGTAATTTGGGGAATCTATATAGTATATGGATGGTATTGGTCATTCCCATAATTTAAACTTTGAACTATGACCTAGAATGGAACCATAGAAAACTCATACATTTAATAGTCAGGTAAAATAAAACGAATTAACTGGCCGGGCACTGTGGTTCACGCCTGTAACCCCAGCACTTTGGAGGCCGAGGCGGGCAGATCACAAGGTCAGGAGATTGAGACCATCCTGGCTAGCAGGGTGAAACCCCATCTCTACTAAAAATACACAAAATTAGTCGGGCGTGGTGGCACGTGCCTGTAATCCCAGCTACTCAGGAGGCTGAGGCGGGAGAATCGCTTAAACCTGGGAGGTGGAGGTTGCAGTGAGCTGAGATCATGCCACTGCACTCCAGCCTGGGCGACAGAGTGAGACTACGAAAGGAAAAGGAAAGGAAGAAAGAAAAGAGAAAAGAAAATAAAGGAAAAAAGAAAAGAATTAACTAGAAAGCTTGAGAAGGAAGAGCCTGAGGTATGGATCAGGAAAAGAGTGGTGTCACAGCAGCCAAAGAAGGAAAGTTTAAAGAAGCAAGGTTAATTTGTACAGCAACAAGATAAATCAGAAAAATAAAATAAAATAAAAAAGCAGGGAATCAACATAGAGACTTGGGTAAATTAAAGATGAAAATGTAGAGGGATCCCGAGACCATAAAGCTGAGAATGGGAAGACATCGTCACAGAGGCTTGAGTAGCAGCAGCTACAGCATGGCCTCCCAGGCTCCCGGGAACTCAGGAGCATCAATGCATTCCAGCTGCAGCAGCAGTGACCACAGCCAGAGCCTTCAACACCATCAGGGGCAAGTGCTAGCTGGCTCCAGCTGGAGCCGAGGCCACAGACAGTTTACTGCCTCTCTGGGTAATCCTATTTTCCAGCCCTTCCAATTCCTAACAATTTCCTAAGATTAAGCCTTTCCCTCTTTGAAATAGAGTGGTTTCTGTTTTCCTGGCTAGAGACTAACTCACACTGTATTTGATAGCAGAGTGGTTTTAGGACACTGCTCCTCAAAGATGAAAATCTGGGGTTGTCACACCCAGGCGATCTTAGATAATTTAAACTGCCGTTTTGCCACTAAATGTACATGCCATTTTCCACAGCAACAAGGGCATCACGGAGTTCCAGTCCAACTAGCTCAGAGAACCAACTCAGATGCTAGGAGGTGGTACTGCTGCTGGAACCCTGCTGCTGTAGAAGCTAAGCAGGAATCCAGAAGCCTGTACTGCACCAAAGCTGCTGTTTCTACCTATTCCTCGCTTTCTCCCTCCCTGCCATTTAAAAGTAACAAACTAGGAATGGAGTTGCCAGCCAATAAACCAGTAATTAGCAGGAACTGTATCAGAGATGCTACAATGGGAGAAAAAAAATGCTGCTTCATTTTGACAGATTGGGGTGATGGGAGATGGAAAGGCATTATTCAGTAGGTAAAATTAAAAGTTGGGATAAAAAGGCATTTTTGCTGCAAGCCAATGCAAGCAACAAGATGTAGATGGGAATGTATAGTGCCATCAAGTTGAATTAAGTCTAATGGTGAATACACATGAAGTGTGAGGCAGATCTTAGAAAAATTTCATACCCATTTCAAAGACCCTTTGTAATAAATCCATACACAGATCAACCATGTTAGGATCACATTTAAAATTCACATCCGGAAAATGGAAATTTATTTGCTTTAACCAAGTAGGCTCAACTCAGAGCAAGTTTTAAAGAACTCAATACATAAACATTAAAAGTCTTTAGTAACACTATTAATTGAATAATTACCTAAATCAATCATCTTACAGCTTGATTATAAACAACCATGCAAATTATTAACACTTTTATCATGATCTAGAAAAGTGAAACCTCTTTCCTATCTCTTTATAGGTTATTTATAAGGAAAAGCAGATACTTACCAAGTGCACTCGTTGCATCTTCAAAAAGGTTTGACCGAGAAGAATCACCCGATGTACTACAAAAGGATTTTAGAAAAATCACATTTTAAAAAGTATATAAAATTTAATTTACATTAGTTTAGTAACTATCCAATTGGTAAACAGATTCTTTGATTTTAATTAAATATAAAAGTCTGACTACAGTATTTAAACTGTCTCTTCTAGATTAAATCCAAAAGCTTTATCTACAACATTTGTGGTTTGGGAAAAATTTTCAATCTTGGTACTCCTTCTATT